>NC_000008.11:45500872-45682562 GCF_000001405.40 Homo sapiens | reverse complement strand
TACAGCATAAACATGTTTCTGAGATTACTTCTATCTCGCATTCATGGGAAGATATTTCCTTTTTCCAGATAGGCTACAAAGCCCTCCAAATGTCCACTTCGAGATACTACAAATAGAGTGCTGCACAACTGCTCTATGTGAGGGGATGTTCAATTCTGTGACTTGGATGCAGACACCACAGAGAAGTTTCTGAGAATGCTGCTGTCTAATTTTTATATGTAAGCCCGTTTCCAACGAAATCCTCAAAGCTATCCAAATATCCGCATGCAGAATCTTCAAAAAGAGTGTTCCAGAAGTACTGCATGAAACGAAAGGTTCAAGTCCGTTAGTTGAGGACACACATCACAAATAAGTTTCTCAGAATGCTTCTGTCTTGTTTTCATTGGAAGATATTTCCTTTTTCACCATAGTTCAGAAAGCGCTCCAAATGTCCACTTCCAGATACTCCAAAAAGAGTGTTTCCAACCTGCTCTATGAATGGGAATGTTCCACTCTGTGACTTGAATGGAAATATGGCAAAGTATTTTCTGAGTATGCTGCTGTGTACGTTTTATATTGCATCCCGTTTCCAACGAAATCCTCAAAGCGATCCAAATATCCACTTGCAGATTCCAAAAAAAGAGTGTTTCAAACTGCTCTGTCAGTACAAAGGTTCAACACTGTTAGTTGATTAGATGCATCATAAACAAGTTCCTGAGATAGCTTCTATGTCGTTTTTATGGGAAGATATTTCCTTTTTCACCATAGGCCTGAAAGCGCTCCAAATGTCCACTTCCAGATACTACAATAAGAGTGTTTCCAACCTGCTCTATGAAACGGAAGGTTCAACTCTGTGACTTGATTGCAAACATCACGAAGGTGTTTCTGAGAATGCTTCTGTCTAGATTTTCTTTGAAGACATTACCGTTTCCAACGAAATCCTCAAAGCTAGCTAAATATCCACCTGCAGATTCTACAAAAAGAGTGTTTCAAAAGTGCTCTGTCCAAACCAAGGTTCAATTCTGACAGTTGAGTGCACACATCACAAACGTGATTCTGCGAATGCTTCTGTCTAGTTTTTGTCGGAAGATATTTCCTTTTTCAGCATAGGCCCCAAGGAGCTCAAAATGTCCACTGCCAGATAGTACGAGAAGATTGTTTCAAACCTGCTCTGTGAAAGGGAATGTTCAACTCTGTGACTTGAATGTAAACATCCCTAAGATGTTTCTTAGAATGCTTCTGGCTAGATTTGATTTGAAGATATTCCCGTTTCCAACGAAATCCTCAAAGCTTTCCAAATATCCACTTCCAGATTCTATAAAAAGAATGTTTCAGAACAGTTCTGTCAAAAGAAAGGTTCAACTCTGTTAGTGGAGAACACACATCACAATCAAGGTTCTGAGAATGCTTCTGTCTAAATTTTCTATGAAGACATTCCCGTTTCCAACGAAATCCTCACAGCTATCCAAATATCCACTTGCAGATTCTACAAAAAGTGTGGTTCAAAACTGCTGTATCAAAAGAATGGATCAACACTGTTAGTTGAGTACCCACATCACAAACGTGATTCTCAGAATGCTTCTGTCTAGTTTCTGTAGGTAGATATTTCCTATTTTAAGCATAGGCCTGAAAGCGCTCCAAATGCCCGCTTCCAGACACTATAAAAAGAGGGTTTCAAACCTACTCTATGAAAGGGAATGTTCAACTCTGAGAGCTGGATGCAAACATCACAAAGAAGTTTCTGAGAATGCTGCTGTCTACTTTTTATATATAATCCCGTTTCCAACGAAATCCTCAAATCTATCCAAATATCCACTTGCAGATTCCAAAAGAAGAGGGTCTCAAAACTGCTCTATCAATAGAAATGTTCAGCACAGTTAGTTGAGTAGATACAGCATAAACATGTTTCTGAGATTACTTCTATCTCGCATTCATGGGAAGATATTTCCTTTTTCCAGATAGGCTACAAAGCCCTCCAAATGTCCACTTCCAGATACTACAAATAGAGTGCTGCACAACTGCTCTATGTGAGGGGAAGTTCAATTCTGTGACTTGAATGCAGACACCACAAAGAAGTTTCTGAGAATGCTGCTGTCTAATTTTCATATGTAAGCCCGTTTCCAACGAAATCCTCAAAGCTATCCAAATATCCTCATGCAGAATCTTCAAAAAGAGTGTTCCAGAAGTACTGCGTGAAACGAAAGGTTCAAGTCCGTTAGTTGAGGACACACATCACAAATAAGTTTCTCAGAATGCTTCTGTCTTGTTTTCATTGGAAGATATTTCCTTTTTCACCATAGTTCAGAAAGCGCTCCAAATGTCCACTTCCAGATACTCCAAAAAGAGTGTTTCCAACCTGCTCTATGAATGGGAATGTTCCACTCTGTGACTTGAATGGAAATATGGCAAAGTATTTTCTGAGTATGCTGCTGTGTACGTTTTATATTGCATCCCGTTTCCAACGAAATCCTCAAAGCGATCCAAATATCCACTTGCAGATTCCAAAAAAAGAGTGTTTCAAACTGCTCTGTCAGTACAAAGGTTCAACACTGTTAGTTGATTAGATGCATCATAAACAAGTTCCTGAGATAGCTTCTATGTCGTTTTTATGGGAAGATATTTCCTTTTTCACCATAGGCCTGAAAGCGCTCCAAATGTCCACTTCCAGATACTACAAAAAGAGTGTTTCCAACCTGCTCTATGAAACGGAAGGTTCAACTCTGTGACTTGATTGCAAACATCACGAAGGTGTTTCTGAGAATGTTTCTGTCTAGATTTTCTTTGAAGACATTACCGTTTCCAACGAAATCCTCAAAGCTAGCCAAATATCCACCTGCAGATTCTACAAAAAGAGTGTTTCAAAAGTGCTCTCTCCAAACCAAGGTTCAATTCTGACAGTTGAGTGCACACATCACAAACAGTGATTCTGCGAATGCTTCTGTCTAGTTTTTGTCGGAAGATATTTCCTTTTTCAGCATAGGCCCCAAGGAGCACAAAATGTCCACTTCCAGATAGTACGAGAAGATTGTTTCAAACCTGCTCTGTGAAAGGGAATGTTCAAATCTGTGACTTGAATGTAAACATCCCTAAGATGTTTCTTAGAATGCTTCTGGCTAGATTTTATTTGAAGATATTCCCGTTTCCAACGAAATCCTCAAAGCTTTCCAAATATCCACTTCCAGATTCTATAAAAAGAATGTTTCAGAACAGTTCTGTCAAAAGAAAGGTTCAACTCTGTTAGTGGAGAACACACATCACAATCAAGGTTCTGAGAATGCTTCTGTCTAAATTTTCTATGAAGACATTCCCGTTTCCAACGAAATCCTCACAGCTATCCAAATATCCACTTGCAGATTCTACAAAAAGTGTGGTTCAAAACTGCTGTATCAAAAGAATGGATCAACACTGTTAGTTGAGTACCCACATCACAAACGTGATTCTCAGAATGCTTCTGTCTAGTTTCTATAGGTAGATATTTCCTTTTTCAGCATAGGCCTGAAAGCGCTCCAAATGCCCGCTTCCAGACACTATAAAAAGAGGGTTTCAAACCTACTCTATGAAAGGGAATGTTCAACTCTGAGAGCTGGATGCAAACATCACAAAGAAGTTTCTGAGAATGCTGCTGTCTACTTTTTATATATAATCCCGTTTCCAACGAAATCCTCAAATCTATCCAAATATCCACTTGCAGATTCCAAAAGAAGAGTGTCTCAAAACTGCTCTATCAATAGAAATGTTCAGCACAGTTAGTTGAGTAGATACAGCATAAACATGTTTTCTGAGATTACTTCTATCTCGCATTCATGGGAAGATATTTCCTTTTTCCAGATAGGCTACAAAGCCCTCCAAATGTCCACTTCAAGATACTACAAATAGAGTGCTGCACAACCGCTCTATGTGAGGGGATGTTCAATTCTGTGACTTGGATGCAGACACCACAGAGAAGTTTCTGAGAATGCTGCTGTCTAATTTTTACATGTAAGCCCGTTTCCAACGAAATCCTCAAAGCTATCCAAATATCCGCATGCAGAATCTTCAAAAAGAGTGTTCCAGAAGTACTGCATGAAACGAAAGGTTCAAGTCCGTTTGTTGAGGACACACATCACAAATAAGTTTCTCAGAATGCTTCTGTGTTGTTTTCATTGGAAGATATTTCCTTTTTCACCATAGTTCAGAAAGCGCTCCAAATGTCCACTTCCAGATACTCCAAAAAGAGTGTTTCAAACCTGCTCTATGAATGGGAATGTTCCACTCTGTGACTTGAATGGAAATATGGCAAAGTATTTTCTGAGTATGCTGCTGTGTACGTTTTATATTGCATCCCGTTTCCAACGAAATCCTCAAAGCGATCCAAATATCCACTTGCAGATTCCAAAAAAAGAGTGTTTCAAACTGCTCTGTCAGTACAAAGGTTCAACACTGTTAGTTGATTAGATGCATCATAAACAAGTTCCTGATATAGATTCTATGTCGCTTTTATGGGAAGATATTTCCTTTTACACCATAGGCCTGAAAGCGCTCCAAATGTCCACTTCCAGATACTACAAAATGAGTGTTTCCAACCTGCTCTATGAAACGGAAGGTTCAACTCTGTGACTTGATTGCAAACATCACGAAGATGTTTCTGAGGATGTTTCTGTCTAGATTTTCTTTGAAGACATTACCGTTTCCAACGAAATCCTCAAAGCTAGCCAAATATCCACCTGCAGATTCTACAAAAAGAGTGTTTCAAAAGTGCTCTGTCCAAACCAAGGTTCAATTCTGACAGTTGAGTGCACACATCACAAACGTGATTCTGCGAATGCTTCTGTCTAGTTTTTGTCGGAAGATATTTCCTTTTTCAGCATAGGCCCCAAGGAGCTCAAAATGTCCACTGCCAGATAGTACGAGAAGATTGTTTCAAACCTGCTCTGTGAAAGGGAATGTTCAACTCTGTGACTTGAATGTAAACATCCCTAAGATGTTTCTTAGAATGCTTCTGGCTAGATTTTATTTGAAGATATTCTCGTTTCCAACGAAATCCTCAAAGCTTTCCAAATATCCACTTCCAGATTCTATAAAAAGAATGTTTCAGAACATTTCTGTCAAAAGAAAGGTTCAACTCTGTTAGTGGAGAACACACATCACAATCAAGGTTCTGAGAATGCTTCTGTCTAAATTTTCTATGAAGACATTCCCGTTTCCAACGAAATCCTCACAGCTATCCAAATATCCACTTGCAGATTCTACAAAAAGTGTGGTTCAAAACTGCTGTATCAAAAGAATGGATCAACACTGTTAGTTGAGTACCCACATCACAAACGTGATTCTCAGAATGCTTCTGTCTAGTTTCTATAGGTAGATATTTCCTTTTTCAGCATAGGCCTGAAAGTGCTCCAAATGCCCGCTTCCAGACACTATAAAAAGAGGGCTTCAAACCTACTCTATGAAAGGGAATGTTCAACTCTGAGAGCTGGATGCAAACATCACAAAGAAGTTTCTGAGAATGCTGCTGTCTACTTTTGATATATAATCCCGTTTCCAACGAAATCCTCAAATCTATCCAAATATCCACTTGCAGATTCCAAAAGAAGAGTGTCTCAAAACTGCTCTATCAATAGAAATGTTCAGCACAGTTAGTTGAGTAGATACAGCATAAACATGTTTCTGAGATTACTTCTATCTCGCATTCATGGGAAGATATTTCCTTTTTCCAGATAGGCTACAAAGCCCTCCAAATGTCCACTTCCAGATACTACAAATAGAGTGCTGCACAACTGCTCTATGTGAGGGGAAGTTCAATTCTGTGACTTGAATGCAGACACCACAAAGAAGTTTCTGAGAATGCTGCTGTCTAATTTTTACATGTAAGCCCGTTTCCAACGAAATCCTCAAAGCTATCCAAATATCCGCATGCAGAATCTTCAAAAAGAGTGTTCCAGAAGTACTGCATGAAACGAAAGGTTCAAGTCCGTTTGTTGAGGACACACATCACAAATAAGTTTCTCAGAATGCTTCTGTCTTGTTTTCATTGGAAGATATTTCCTTTTTCACCATAGTTCAGAAAGCGCTCCAAATGTCCACTTCCAGATACTCCAAAAAGAGTGTTTCCAACCTGCTCTATGAATGGGAATGTTCCACTCTGTGACTTGAATGGAAATATGGCAAAGTATTTTCTGAGTATGCTGCTGTGTACGTTTTATATTGCATCCGGTTTCCAACGAAATCCTCAAAGCGATCCAAATATCCACTTGCAGATTCCAAAAAAAGAGTGTTTCAAACTGCTCTGTCAGTACAAAGGTTCAACACTTTTAGTTGATTAGATGCATCATAAACAAGTTCCTGAGATAGCTTCTATGTCGTTTTTATGGGAAGATATTTCCTTTTTCACCATAGGCCTGAAAGCGCTCCAAATGTCCACTTCCAGATACTACAATAAGAGTGTTTCCAACCTGCTCTATGAAACGGAAGGTTCAACTCTGTGACTTGATTGCAAACATCACGAAGGTGTTTCTGAGAATGCTTCTGTCTAGATTTTCTTTGAAGACATTACCGTTTCCAACGAAATCCTCAAAGCTAGCCAAATATCCACCTGCAGATTCTACAAAAAGAGTGTTTCAAAAGTGCTCTGTCCAAACCAAGGTTCAATTCTGACAGTTGAGTGCACACATCACAAACGTGATTCTGCGAATGCTTCTGTCTAGTTTTTGTCGGAAGAATATTTCCTTTTTCAGCATAGGCCCCAAGGAGCTCAAAATGTCCACTGCCAGATAGTACGAGAAGATTGTTTCAAACCTGCTCTGAGAAAGGGGAATGTTCAACTCTGTGACTTGAATGTAAACATCCCTAAGATGTTTCTTAGAATGCTTCTGGCTAGATTTGATTTGAAGATATTCCCGTTTCCAACGAAATCCTCAAAGCTTTCCCAATATCCACTTCCAGATTCTATAAAAAGAATGTTTCAAAACAGTTCTGTCAAAAGAAAGGTTCAACTCTGTTAGTGGAGAACACACATCACAATCAAGGTTCTGAGAATGCTTCTGTCTAAATTTTCTATGAAGACATTCCCGTTTCCAACGAAATCCTCACAGCTATCCAAATATCCACTTGCAGATTCTACAAAAAGGGTGGTTCAAAACTGCTGTATCAATAGAATGGATCAACACTGTTAGTTGAGTACCCACATCACAAACGAGATTCTCAGAATGCTTCTGTCTAGTTTCTATAGGTAGACATTTCCTTTTTCAGCATTGGCCTGAAAGCGCTCCAAATGCCCGCTTCCAGACACTATAAAAAGAGGGTTTCCAACCTACTCTATGAAAGGGAATGTTCAACTCTGAGAGCTGGATGCAAACATCACAAAGAAGTTTCTGAGAATGCTGCTGTCTACTTTTTATATATAATCCCGTTTCCAACGAAATCCTCAAATCTAGCCAAATATCCACTTGCAGATTCCAAAAGAAGAGTGTCTCGAAACTGCTCTTTCAATAGAAATGTTCAGCACAGTTAGTTGAGTAGATACAGCATAAACATGTTTCTGAGATTACTTCTATCTCGCATTCATGGGAAGATATTCCCTTTTTCCAGATAGGCTACAAAGCCCTCCAAATGTCCACTTCGAGATACTACAAATAGAGTGCTGCACAACTGCTCTATGTGAGGGGATGTTCAATTCTGTGACTTGAATGCAGACACCACAAAGAAGTTTCTGAGAATGCTGCTGTCTAATTTTTATATATAAGCCCGTATCCAACGAAATCCTCAAAGCTATCCAAATATCCGCATGCAGAATCTTCAAAAAGAGTGTTCCAGAAGTACTGCATGAAACGAAAGGTTTGAGTACGTTAGTTGAGGACACGCATCACAAATAAGTTTCTCAGAATGCTTCTGTCTTGTTTTCATTGGAAGATATTTCCTTTTTCACCATAGTTCAGAAAGCGCTCCAAATGTCCACTTCCAGATACTCCAAAAAGAGTGTTTCCAACCTGCTCTATGAATGGGAATGTTCCACTCTGTGACTTGAATGGAAATATGGCAAAGTATTTTCTGAGTATGCTGCTGTGTACGTTTTATATTGCATCCCGTTTCCAACGAAATCCTCAAAGCGATCCAAATATCCACTTGCAGATTCCAAAAAAAAGAGTGTTTCACACTGCTCTGTCAGTACAAAGGTTCAACACTGTTAGTTGATTGGATGCATCATAAACAAGTTCCTGAGATAGCTTCTATGTCGTTTTTATGGGAATATATTTCCTTTTTCACCATAGGCCTGAAAGCGCTCCAAATGTCCACTTCCAGATACTACAATAAGAGTGTTTCCAACCTGCTCTATGAAACGGAAGGTTCAACTCTGTGACTTGATTGCAAACATCACGAAGGTGTTTCTGAGAATGCTTCTGTCTAGATTTTCTTTGAAGACATCCCCGTTTCCAACGAAATCCTCACAGCTATCCAAATATCCTCTTGCAGATTCTACAAAAAGTGTGGTTCAAAACTGCTGTATCAAAAGAATGGATCAACACTGTTAGTTGAGTACCCACATCACAAACGTGATTCTCAGAATGCTTCTGTCTAGTTTCTGTAGGTAGATATTTCCTATTTTAAGCATAGGCCTGAAAGCGCTCCAAATGCCCGCTTCCAGACACTATAAAAAGAGGGTTTCAAACCTACTCTATGAAAGGGAATGTTCAACTCTGAGAGCTGGATGCAAACATCACAAAGAAGTTTCTGAGAATGCTGCTGTCTACTTTTTATATATAATCCCGTTTCCAACGAAATCCTCAAATCTATCCAAATATCCACTTGCAGATTCCAAAAGAAGAGTGTCTCAAAACTGCTCTATCAATAGAAATGTTCAGGACAGTTAGTTGAGTAGATACAGCATAAACATGTTTCTGAGATTACTTCTATCTCGCATTCATGGGAAGATATTTCCTTTTTCCACATAGGCTACAAAGCCCTCCAAATGTCCACTTCCAGATACTACAAATAGAGTGCTGCACAACTGCTCTATGTGAGGGGAAGTTCAATTCTGTGACTTGAATGCAGACACCACAAAGAAGTTTCTGAGAATGCTGCTGTCTAATTTTTACATGTAAGCCCGTTTCCAACGAAATCCTCAAAGCTATCCAAATATCCGCATGCAGAATCTTCAAAAAGAGTGTTCCAGAAGTACTGCATGAAACGAAAGGTTCAAGTCCGTTTGTTGAGGACACACATCACAAATAAGTTTCTCAGAATGCTTCTGTGTTGTTTTCATTGGAAGATATTTCCTTTTTCACCATAGTTCAGAAAGCGCTCCAAATGTCCACTTCCAGATACTCCAAAAAGAGTGTTTCAAACCTGCTCTATGAATGGGAATGTTCCACTCTGTGACTTGAATGGAAATATGGCAAAGTATTTTCTGAGTATGCTGCTGTGTACGTTTTATATTGCATCCCGTTTCCAACGAAATCCTCAAAGCGATCCAAATATCCACTTGCAGATTCCAAAAAAAGAGTGTTTCAAACTGCTCTGTCAGTACAAAGGTTCAACACTGTTAGTTGATTACATGCATCATAAACAAGTTCCTGAGATAGCTTCTATGTCGTTTTTATGGGAAGATATTTCCTTTTTCACCATAGGCCTGAAAGCGCTCCAAATGTCCACTTCCAGATACTACAAAAAGAGTGTTTCCAACCTGCTCTATGAAACGGAAGGTTCAACTCTGTGACTTGATTGCAAACATCACGAAGGTGTTTCTGAGAATGCTTCTGTCTAGATTTTCTTTGAAGACATTACCGTTTCCAACGAAATCCTCAAAGCTAGCCAAATATCCACCTGCAGATTCTACAAAAAGAGTGTTTCAAAAGTGCTCTGTCCAAACCAAGGTTCAATTCTGACAGTTGAGTGCACACATCACAAACGTGATTCTGCGAATGCTTCTGTCTAGTTTTTGTCGGAAGATATTTCCTTTTTCAGCATAGGCCCCAAGGAGCTCAAAATGTCCACTGCCAGATAGTACGAGAAGGTTGTTTCAAACCTGCTCTGTGAAAGGGAATGTTCAACTCTGTGACTTGAATGTAAATATCCCTAAGATGTTTCTTAGAATGCTTCTGGCTAGATTTGATTTGAAGATATTCCCGTTTCCAACGAAATCCTCAAAGCTTTCCAAATATCCACTTCCAGATTCTATAAAAAGAATGTTTCAGAACAGTTCTGTCAAAAGAAAGGTTCAACTCTGTTAGTGGAGAACACACATCACAATCAAGGTTCTGAGAATGCTTCTGTCTAAATTTTCTATGAAGACATTCCCGTTTCCAACGAAATCCTCACAGCTATCCAAATATCCACTTGCAGATTCTACAAAAAGTGTGGTTCAAAACTGCTGTATCAAAAGAATGGATCAACACTGTTAGTTGAGTACCCACATCACAAACGTGATTCTCAGAATGCTTCTGTCTAGTTTCTATAGGTAGATATTTCCTTTTTCAGCATAGGCCTGAAAGCGCTCCAAATGCCCGCTTCCAGACACTATAAAAAGAGGGTTTCAAACCTACTCTATGAAAGGGAATGTTCAACTCTGGGAGCTGGATGCAAACATCACAAAGAAGTTTTCTGAGAATGCTGCTGTCTACTTTTTATATATAATCCCGTTTCCAACGAAATCCTCAAATCTATCCAAATATCCACTTGCAGATTCCAAAAGAAGAGTGTCTGAAAACTGCTCTATCAATAGAAATGTTCAGCACAGTTAGTTGAGTAGATACAGCATAAACATGTTTCTGAGATTACTTCTATCTCGCATTCATGGGAAGATATTTCCTTTTTCCAGATAGGCTACAAAGCCCTCCAAATGTCCACTTCCAGATACTACAAATAGAGTGCTGCACAACTGCTCTATGTGAGGGGAAGTTCAATTCTGTGACTTGAATGCAGACACCACAAAGAAGTTTCTGAGAATGCTGCTGTCTAATTTTTACATGTAAGCCCGTTTCCAACGAAATCCTCAAAGCTATCCAAATATCCGCATGCAGAATCTTCAAAAAGAGTGTTCCAGAAGTACTGCATGAAACGAAAGGTTCAAGTCCGTTTGTTGAGGACACACATCACAAATAAGTTTCTCAGAATGCTTCTGTCTTGTTTTCATTGGAAGATATTTCCTTTTTCACCATAGTTCAGAAAGCGCTCCAAATGTCCACTTCCAGATACTCCAAAAAGAGTGTTTCCAACCTGCTCTATGAATGGGAATGTTCCACTCTGTGACTTGAATGGAAATATGGCAAAGAATTTTCTGAGTATGCTGCTGTGTACGTTTTATATTGCATCCCGTTTCCAACGAAATCCTCAAAGCGATCCAAATATCCACTTGCAGATTCCAAAAAAAGAGTGTTTCAAACTGCTCTGTCAGTACAAAGGTTCAACACTGTTAGTTGATTAGATGCCTCATAAACAAGTTCCTGAGATAGCTTCTATGTCGTTTTTATGGGAAGATATTTCCTTTTTCACCATAGGCCTGAAAGCGCTCCAAATGTCCACTTCCAGATACTACAATAAGAGTGTTTCCAACCTGCTCTATGAAACGGAAGGTTCAACTCTGTGACTTGATTGCAAACATCACGAAGGTGTTTCTGAGAATGCTTCTGTCTAGATTTTCTTTGAAGACATTACCGTTTCCAACGAAATCCTCAAAGCTAGCCAAATATCCACCTGCAGATTCTACAAAAAGAGTGTTTCAAAAGTGCTCTCTCCAAACCAAGGTTCAATTCTGACAGTTGAGTGCACACATCACAAACGTGATTCTGCGAATGCTTCTGTCTAGTTTTTGTCGGAAGATATTTCCTTTTTCAGCATAGGCCCCAAGGAGCTCAAAATGTCCACTGCCAGATAGTACGAGAAGATTGTTTCAAACCTGCTCTGTGAAAGGGAATGTTCAACTCTGTGACTTGAATGTAAACATCCCTAAGATGTTTCTTAGAATGCTTCTGGCTAGATTTGATTTGAAGATATTCCCGTTTCCAACGAAATCCTCAAAGCTTTCCAAATATCCACTTCCAGATTCTATAACAAGAATGTTTCAGAACAGTTCTGTCAAAAGAAAGGTTCAACTCTGTTAGTGGAGAACACACATCACAATCAAGGTTCTGAGAATGCTTCTGTCTAAATTTTCTATGAAGACATTCCCGTTTCCAACGAAATCCTCACAGCTATCCAAATATCCACTTGCAGATTCTACAAAAAGTGTGGTTCAAAACTGCTGTATCAAAAGAATGGATCAACACTGTTAGTTGAGTACCCACATCACAAACGTGATTCTCAGAATGCTTCTGTCTAGTTTCTATAGGTAGATATTTCCTTTTTCAGCATAGGCCTGAAAGCGCTCCAAATGCCCGCTTCCAGACACTATAAAAAGAGGGTTTCAAACCTACTCTATGAAAGGGAATGTTCAACTCTGAGAGCTGGATGCAAACATCACAAAGAAGTTTCTGAGAATGCTGCTGTCTACTTTTTATATATAATCCCGTTTCCAACGAAATCCTCAAATCTATCCAAATATCCACTTGCAGATTCCAAAAGAAGAGTGTCTCAAAACTGCTCTATCAATAGAAATGTTCAGCACAGTTAGTTGATTAGATACAGCATAAACATGTTTCTGAGATTACTTCTATCTCGCATTCATGGGAAGATATTTCCTTTTTCCAGATAGGCTACAAAGCCCTCCAAATGTCCACTTCCAGATACTACAAATAGAGTGCTGCACAACTGCTCTATGTGAGGGGAAGTTCAATTCTGTGACTTGAATGCAGACACCACAAAGAAGTTTCTGAGAATGCTGCTGTCTAATTTTTACATGTAAGCCCGTTTCCAACGAAATCCTCAAAGCTATCCAAATATCCGCATGCAGAATCTTCAAAAAGAGTGTTCCAGAAGTACTGCATGAAACGAAAGGTTCAAGTCCGTTTGTTGAGGACACACATCACAAATAAGTTTCTCAGAATGCTTCTGTCTTGTTTTCATTGGAAGATATTTCCTTTTTCACCATAGTTCAGAAAGCGCTCCAAATGTCCACTTCCAGATACTACAAAAAGAGTATGTCAAACCTGCTCTATGAATGGGAATGTTCCACTCTGTGACTTGAATGGAAATATGGCAAAGTATTTTCTGAGTATGCTGCTGTGTACGTTTTATATTGCATCCCGTTTCCAACGAAATCCTCAAAGCGATCCAAATATCCACTTGCAGATTCCAAAAAAAGAGTGTTTCAAAGTGCTCTGTCAGTACAAAGGTTCAACACTGTTAGTTGATTAGATGCATCATAAACAAGTTCCTGAGATAGCTTCTATGTCGTTTTTATGGGAAGATATTTCCTTTTTCACCATAGGCCTGAAAGCGCTCCAAATGTCCACTTCCAGATACTACAATAAGAGTGTTTCCAACCTGCTCTATGAAACGGAAGGTTCAACTCTGTGACTTGATTGCAAACATCACGAAGGTGTTTCTGAGAATGTTTTCTGTCTAGATTTTCTTTGAAGACATTACCGTTTCCAACGAAATCCTCAAAGCTAGCCAAATATCCACCTGCAGATTCTACAAAAAGAGTGTTTCAAAAGTGCTCTCTCCAAACCAAGGTTCAATTCTGACAGTTGAGTGCACACATCACAAACGTGATTCTGCGAATGCTTCTGTCTAGTTTTTGTCGGAAGATATTTCCTTTTTCAGCATAGGCCCCAAAGAGCTCAAAATGTCCACTGCCAGATAGTACGAGAAGATTGTTTCAAACCTGCTCCGTGAAAGGGAATGTTCAACTCTGTGACTTGAATGTAAACATCCCTAAGATGTTTCTTAGAATGCTTCTGGCTAGATTTGATTTGAAGATATTCCCGTTTCCAACGAAATCCTCAAAGCTTTCCAAATATCCACTTCCAGATTCTATAACAAGAATGTTTCAGAACAGTTCTGTCAAAAGAAAGGTTCAACTCTGTTAGTGGAGAACACACATCACAATCAAGGTTCTGAGAATGCTTCTGTCTAAATTTTCTATGAAGACATTCCCGTTTCCAACGAAATCCTCACAGCTATCCAAATATCCACTTGCAGATTCTACAAAAAGTGTGGTTCAAAACTGCTGTATCAAAAGAATGGATCAACACTGTTAGTTGAGTACCCACATCACAAACGTGATTCTCAGAATGCTTCTGTCTAGTTTCTATAGGTAGATATTTCCTTTTTCAGCATAGGCCTGAAAGCGCTCCAAATGCCCGCTTCCAGACACTATAAAAAGAGGGTTTCAAACCTACTCTATGAAAGGGAATGTTCAACTCTGAGAGCTGGATGCAAACATCACAAAGAAGTTTCTGAGAATGCTGCTGTCTACTTTTTATATATAATCCCGTTTCCAACGAAATCCTCAAATCTATCCAAATATCCACTTGCAGATTCCAAAAGAAGAGTGTCTCAAAACTGCTCTATCAATAGAAATGTTCAGCACAGTTAGTTGAGTAGATACAGCATAAACATGTTTCTGAGATTACTTCTATCTCGCATTCATGGGAAGATATTTCCTTTTTCCAGATAGGCTACAAAGCCCTCCAAATGTCCACTTCCAGATACTACAAATAGAGTGCTGCACAACTGCTCTATGTGAGGGGAAGTTCAATTCTGTGACTTGAATGCAGACACCACAAAGAAGTTTCTGAGAATGCTGCTGTCTAGTTTTTATATGTAAGCCCGTTTCCAACGAAATCCTCAAAGCTATCCAAATATCCGCATGCAGAATCTTCAAAAAGAGTGTTCCAGAAGTACTGCATGAAACGAAAGGTTCAAGTCCGTTAGTTGAGGACACACATCACAAATAAGTTTCTCAGAATGCTTCTGTCTTGTTTTCATTGGAAGATATTTCCTTTTTCACCATAGTTCAGAAAGCGCTCCAAATGTCCACTTCCAGATACTCCAAAAAGAGTGTTTCCAACCTGCTCTATGAATGGGAATGTTCCACTCTGTGACTTGAATGGAAATATGGCAAAGTATTTTCTGAGTATGCTGCTGTGTACGTTTTATATTGCATCCCGTTTCCAACGAAATCCTCAAAGCGATCCAAATATCCACTTGCAGATTCCAAAAAAAGAGTGTTTCAAACTGCTCTGTTAGTACAAAGGTTCAACACTGTTAGTTGATTAGATGCATCATAAACAAGTTCCTGAGATAGCTTCTATGTCGTTTTTATGGGAAGATATTTCCTTTTTCACCATAGGCCTGAAAGCGCTCCAAATGTCCACTTCCAGATACTACAAAAAGAGTGTTTCCAACCTGCTCTATGAAACGGAAGGTTCAACTCTGTGACTTGATTGCAAACATCACGAAGGTGTTTCTGAGAATGCTTCTGTCTAGATTTTCTTTGAAGACATTACCGTTTCCAACGAAAACCTCAAAGCTAGCCAAATATCCACCTGCAGATTCTACAAAAAGAGTGTTTCAAATGTGCTCTGTCCAAACAAAGGTTCAATTCTGACAGTTGAGTGCACACATCACAAACGTGATTCTGCGAATGCTTCTGTCTAGTTTTTGTCGGAAGATATTTCCTTTTTCAGCATAGGCCCCAAGGAGCTCAAAATGTCCACTGCCAGATAGTACGAGAAGATTGTTTCAAACCTGCTCTGTGAAAGGGAATGTTCAACTCTGTGACTTGAATGTAAACATCCCTAAGATGTTTCTTAGAATGCTTCTGGCTAGATTTTATTTGAAGATATTCCCGTTTCCAACGAAATCCTCAAAGCTTTCCAAATATCCACTTCCAGATTCTATAAAAAGAATGTTTCAGAACAGTTCTGTCAAAAGAAAGGTTCAACTCTGTTAGTGGAGAACACACATCACAATCAAGGTTCTGAGAATGCTTCTGTCTAAATTTTCTATGAAGACATTCCCGTTTCCAACGAAATCCTCACAGCTATCCAA
This sequence comes from Homo sapiens, assembly GCF_000001405.40. Classification (NCBI taxonomy): domain Eukaryota; kingdom Metazoa; phylum Chordata; class Mammalia; order Primates; family Hominidae; genus Homo; species Homo sapiens. The sequence goes on along the minus strand of NC_000008.11, from coordinate 45,666,674 downwards.
ATATCCACTTGCAGATTCTACAAAAAGTGTGGTTCAAAACTGCTGTATCAAAAGAATGGATCAACACTGTTAGTTGAGTACCCACATCACAAACGTGATTCTCAGAATGCTTCTGTCTAGTTTCTATAGGTAGATATTTCCTTTTTCAGCATAGGCCTGAAAGCGCTCCAAATGCCCGCTTCCAGACACTATAAAAAGAGGGTTTCAAACCTACTCTATGAAAGGGAATGTTCAACTCTGAGAGCTGGATGCAAACATCACAAAGAAGTTTCTGAGAATGCTGCTGTCTACTTTTTATATATAATCCCGTTTCCAACGAAATCCTCAAATCTATCCAAATATCCACTTGCAGATTCCAAAAGAAGAGTGTCTCAAAACTGCTCTATCAATAGAAATGTTCAGCACAGTTAGTTGAGTAGATACAGCATAAACATGTTTCTGAGATTACTTCTATCTCGCATTCATGGGAAGATATTTCCTTTTTCCAGATAGGCTACAAAGCCCTCCAAATGTCCACTTCCAGATACTACAAATAGAGTGCTGCACAACTGCTCTATGTGAGGGGAAGTTCAATTCTGTGACTTGAATGCAGACACCACAAAGAAGTTTCTGAGAATGCTGCTGTCTAATTTTTACATGTAAGCCCGTTTCCAACGAAATCCTCAAAGCTATCCAAATATCCGCATGCAGAATCTTCAAAAAGAGTGTTCCAGAAGTACTGCATGAAACGAAAGGTTCAAGTCCGTTTGTTGAGGACACACATCACAAATAAGTTTCTCAGAATGCTTCTGTCTTGTTTTCATTGGAAGATATTTCCTTTTTCACCATAGTTCAGAAAGCGCTCCAAATGTCCACTTCCAGATACTCCAAAAAGAGTGTTTCCAACCTGCTCTATGAATGGGAATGTTCCACTCTGTGACTTGAATGGAAATATGGCAAAGTATTTTCTGAGTATGCTGCTGTGTACGTTTTATATTGCATCCCGTTTCCAACGAAATCCTCAAAGCGATCCAAATATCCACTTGCAGATTCCAAAAAAAGAGTGTTTCAAAGTGCTCTGTCAGTACAAAGGTTCAACACTGTTAGTTGATTAGATGCATCATAAACAAGTTCCTGAGATACCTTCTATCTCGCATTCATGGGAAGATATTTCCTTTTTCCACATAGGCTACAAAGCCCTCCAAATGTCCACTTCCAGATACTACAAAAAGAGTGTTTCCAACCTGCTCTATGAAACGGAAGGTTCAACTCTGTGACTTGATTGCAAACATCACGAAGGTGTTTCTGAGAATGCTTCTGTCTAGATTTTCTTTGAAGACATTACCGTTTCCAACGAAATCCTCAAAGCTAGCCAAATATCCACCTGCAGATTCTACAAAAAGAGTGTTTCAAAAGTGCTCTGTCCAAACCAAGGTTCAATTCTGACAGTTGAGTGCACACATCACAAACGTGATTCTGCGAATGCTTCTGTCTAGTTTTTGTCGGAAGATATTTCCTTTTTCAGCATAGGCCCCAAGGAGCACAAAATGTCCACTTCCAGATAGTACGAGAAGATTGTTTCAAACCTGCTCTGTGAAAGGGAATGTTCAACTCTGTGACTTGAATGTAAACATCCCTAATATGTTTCTTAGAATGCTTCTGGCTAGATTTTATTTGAAGATATTCCCGTTTCCAACGAAATCCTCAAAGCTTTCCAAATATCCACTTCCAGATTCTATAAAAAGAATGTTTCAGAACAGTTCTGTCAAAAGAAAGGTTCAACTCTGTTAGTGGAGAACACACATCACAATCAAGGTTCTGAGAATGCTTCTGTCTAAATTTTCTATGAAGACATTCCCGTTTCCAAGGAAATCCTCACAGCTATCCAAATATCCACTTGCAGATTCTACAAAAAGTGTGGTTCAAAACTGCTGTATCAAAAGAATGGATCAACACTGTTAGTTGAGTACCCACATCACAAACGTGATTCTCAGAATGCTTCTGTCTAGTTTCTATAGGTAGATATTTCCTTTTTCAGCATAGGCCTGAAAGCGCTACAAATGCCCGCTTCCAGACACTATAAAAAGAGGGTTTCAAACCTACTCTATGAAAGGGAATGTTCAACTCTGAGAGCTGGATGCAAACATCACAAAGAAGTTTCTGAGAATGCGGCTGTCTACTTTTTATATATAATCCCGTTTCCAACGAAATCCTCAAATCTATCCAAATATCCACTTGCAGATTCCAAAAGAAGAGTGTCTCAAAACTGCTCTATCAATAGAAATGTTCAGCACAGTTAGTTGAGTAGATACAGCATAAACATGTTTCTGAGATTACTTCTATCTCGCATTCATGGGAAGATATTTCCTTTTTCCAGATAGGCTACAAAGACCTCCAAATGTCCTCTTCGAGATACTACAAATAGAGTGCTGCACAACTGCTCTATGTGAGGAGATGTTCAATTCTGTGACTTGAATGCAGACACCACAAAGAAGTTTCCTGAGAATGCTGCTGTCTAATTTTTACATGTAAGCCCGTTTCCAACGAAATCCTCAAAGCTATCCAAATATCCGCATGCAGAATCTTCAAAAAGAGTGTTCCAGAAGTACTGCATGAAACGAAAGGTTCAAGTCCGTTTGTTGAGGACACACATCACAAAGAAGTTTCTCAGAATGCTTCTGTCTTGTTTTCATTGGAAGATATTTCCTTTTTCACCATAGTTCAGAAAGCGCTCCAAATGTCCACTTCCAGATACTCCAAAAAGAGTGTTTCCAACCTGCTCTATGAATGGGAATGTTCCACTCTGTGACTTGAATGGAAATATGGCAAAGTATTTTCTGAGTATGCTGCTGTGTACGTTTTATATTGCATCCCGTTTCCAACGAAATCCTCAAAGCGATCCAAATATCCACTTGCAGATTCCAAAAAAAGAGTGTTTCAAACTGCTCTGTCAGTACAAAGGTTCAACACTGTTAGTTGATTAGATGCATCATAAACAAGTTCCTGAGATAGCTTCTATGTCGTTTTTATGGGAAGATATTTCTTTTTCACCATAGGCCTGAAAGCGCTCCAAATGTCCACTTCCAGATACTACAATAAGAGTGTTTCCAACCTGCTCTATGAAACGGAAGGTTCAACTCTGTGACTTGATTGCAAACATCACGAAGGTGTTTCTGAGAATGTTTCTGTCTAGATTTTCTTTGAAGACATTCCCGTTTCCAACGAAATCCTCACAGCTATCCAAATATCCTCTTGCAGATTCTACAAAAAGTGTGGTTCAAAACTGCTGTATCAAAAGAATGGATCAACACTGTTAGTTGAGTACCCACATCACAAACGTGATTCTCAGAATGCTTCTGTCTAGTTTCTGTAGGTAGATATTTCCTATTTTAAGCATAGGCCTGAAAGCGCTCCAAATGCCCGCTTCCAGACACTATAAAAAGAGGGTTTCAAACCTACTCTATGAAAGGGAATGTTCAACTCTGAGAGCTGGATGCAAACATCACAAAGAAGTTTCTGAGAATGCTGCTGTCTACTTTTTATATATAATCCCGTTTCCAACGAAATCCTCAAATCTATCCAAATATCCACTTGCAGATTCCAAAAGAAGAGTGTCTCAAAATGCTCTATCAATAGAAATGTTCAGCACAGTTAGTTGAGTAGATACAGCATAAACATGTTTCTCAGATTACTTCTATCTCGCATTCATGGGAAGATATTTCCTTTTTCCAGATAGGCTACAAAGCCCTCCAAATGTCCACTTCCAGATACTACAAATAGAGTGCTGCACAACTGCTCTATGTGAGGGGAAGTTCAATTCTGTGACTTGAATGCAGACACCACAAAGAAGTTTCTGAGAATGCTGCTGTCTAATTTTTACATGTAAGCCCGTTTCCAACGAAATCCTCAAAGCTATCCAAATATCCGCATGCAGAATCTTCAAAAAGAGTGTTCCAGAAGTACTGCATGAAACGAAAGGTTCAAGTCCGTTTGTTGAGGACACACATCACAAATAAGTTTCTCAGAATGCTTCTGTCTTGTTTTCATTGGAAGATATTTCCTTTTTCACCATAGTTCAGAAAGCGCTCCAAATGTCCACTTCCAGATACTCCAAAAAGAGTGTTTCCAACCTGCTCTAGTAATGGGAATGTTCCACTCTGTGACTTGAATGGAAATATGGCAAAGTATTTTCTGAGTATGCTGCTGTGTACGTTTTATATTGCATCCCGTTTCCAACGAAATCCTCAAAGCGATCCAAATATCCACTTGCAGATTCCAAAAAAAGAGTGTTTCAAACTGCTCTGTCAGTACAAAGGTTCAACACTGTTAGTTGGTTAGATGCATCATAAACAAGTTCCTGAGATAGCTTCTATCTCGCATTCATGGGAAGATATTTCCTTTTTCCAGATAGGCTACAAAGCCCTCCAAATGTCCACTTCCAGATACTACAAAAAGAGTGTTTCCAACCTGCTCTATGAAATGGAAGTTTCAACTCTGTGACTTGATTGCAAACATCACGAAGGTGTTTCTGAGAATGCTTCCGTCTAGATTTTCTTTGAAGACATTACCGTTTCCAACGAAATCCTCAAAGCTAGCCAAATATCCACCTGCAGATTCCACAAAAAGAGTGTTTCAAAAGTGCTCTGTCCAAACCAAGGTTCAATTCTGACAGTTGAGTGCACACATCACAAACGTGATTCTGCGAATGCTTCTGTCTAGTTTTTGTCGGAAGATATTTCCTTTTTCAGCATAGGCCCCAAGGAGCTCAAAATGTCCACTGCCAGATAGTACGAGAAGATTGTTTCAAACCTGCTCTGTGAAAGGGAATGTTCAACTCTGTGACTTGAATGTAAACATCCCTAAGATGTTTCTTAGAATGCTTCTGGCTAGATTTTATTTGAAGATATTCCCGTTTCCAACGAAATCCTCAAAGCTTTCCAAATATCCACTTCCAGATTCTATAAAAAGAATGTTTCAGAACAGTTCTGTCAAAAGAAAGGTTCAACTCTGTTAGTGGAGAACACACATCACAATCAAGGTTCTGAGAATGCTTCTGTCTAGATTTTCTTTGAAGACATTCCCGTTTCCAACGAAATCCTCACAGCTATCCAAATATCCTATTGCAGATTCTACAAAAAGTGTGGTTCAAAACTGCTGTATCAAAAGAAAGGATCAACACTGTTAGTTGAGTACCCACATCACAAACGTGATTCTCAGAATGCTTCTGTCTAGTTTCTGTAGGTAGATATTTCCTATTTTAAGCATAGGCCTGAAAGCGCTCCAAATGCCCGCTTGCAGACACTATAAAAAGAGGGTTTCAAACCTACTCTATGAAAGGGAATGTTCAACTCTGAGAGCTGGATGCAAACATCACAAAGAAGTTTCTGAGAATGCTGCTGTCTACTTTTTATATATAATCCCGTTTCCAACGAAATCCTCAAATCTATCCAAATATCCACTTGCAGATTCCAAAAGAAGAGTGTCTGAAAACTGCTCTATCAATAGAAATGTTCAGCACAGTTAGTTGAGTAGATACAGCATAAACATGTTTCTGAGATTACTTCTATCTCGCATTCATGGGAAGATATTTCCTTTTTCCAGATGGGCTACAAAGCCCTCCAAATGTCCACTTCCAGATACTACAAATAGAGTGCTGCACAACTGCTCTATGGGAGGGGAAGTTCAATTCTGTGACTTGAATGCAGACACCACAAAGAAGTTTCTGAGAATGCTGCTGTCTAATTTTTACATGTAAGCCCGTTTCCAACGAAATCCTCAAAGCTATCCAAATATCCGCATGCAGAATCTTCAAAAAGAGTGTTCCAGAAGTACTGCATGAAACGAAAGGTTCAAGTCCGTTTGTTGAGGACACACATCACAAATAAGTTTCTCAGAATGCTTCTGTCTTGTTTTCATTGGAAGATATTTCCTTTTTCACCATAGTTCAGAAAGCGCTCCAAATGTCCACTTCCAGATACTCCAAAAAGAGTGTTTCCAACCTGCTCTATGAATGGGAATGTTCCACTCTGTGACTTGAATGGAAATATGGCAAAGAATTTTCTGAGTATGCTGCTGTGTACGTTTTATATTGCATCCCGTTTCCAACGAAATCCTCAAAGCGATCCAAATATCCACTTGCAGATTCCAAAAAAAGAGTGTTTCAAACTGCTCCTGTCAGTACAAAGGTTCAACACTGTTAGTTGATTAGATGCCTCATAAACAAGTTCCTGAGATAGCTTCTATCTCGCATTCATGGGAAGATATTTCCTTTTTCCACATAGGCTACAAAGCCCTCCAAATGTCCACTTCCAGATACTACAAAAAGAGTGTTTCCAACCTGCTCTATGAAACGGAAGGTTCAACTCTGTGACTTGATTGCAAACATCACGAAGGTGTTTCTGAGAATGCTTCTGTCTAGATTTTCTTTGAAGACATTACCGTTTCCAACGAAATCCTCAAAGCTAGCCAAATATCCACCTGCAGATTCTACAAAAAGAGTGTTTCAAAAGTGCTCTGTCCAAACCAAGGTTCAATTCTGACAGTTGAGTGCACACATCACAAACGTGATTCTGCGAATGCTTCTGTCTAGTTTTTGTCGGAAGATATTTCCTTTTTCAGCATAGGCCCCAAGGAGCTCAAAATGTCCACTGCCAGATAGTACGAGAAGATTGTTTCAAACCTGCTCTGTGAAAGGGAATGTTCAACTCTGTGACTTGAATGTAAACATCCCTAAGATGTTTCTTAGAATGCTTCTGGCTAGATTTTATTTGAAGATATTCCCGTTTCCAACGAAATCCTCAAAGCTTTCCAAATATCCACTTCCAGATTCTATAAAAAGAATGTTTCAGAACAGTTCTGTCAAAAGAAAGGTTCAACTCTGTTAGTGGAGAACACACATCACAATCAAGGTTCTGAGAATGCTTCTGTCTAGCATTTTCTTTGAAGACATTCCCGTTTCCAACGAAATCCTCACAGCTATCCAAATATCCTCTTGCAGATTCTACAAAAAGTGTGGTTCAAAACTGCTGTATCAAAAGAATGGATCAACACTGTTAGTTGAGTACCCACATCACAAACGTGATTCTCAGAATGCTTCTGTCTAGTTTCTGTAGGTAGATATTTCCTATTTTAAGCATAGGCCTGAAAGCGCTCCAAATGCCCGCTTCCAGACACTATAAAAAGAGGGTTTCAAACCTACTCTATGAAAGGGAATGTTCAACTCTGAGAGCTGGATGCAAACATCACAAAGAAGTTTCTGAGAATGCTGCTGTCTACTTTTTATATATAATCCCGTTTCCAACGAAATCCTCAAATCTCTCCAAATATCCACTTGCAGATTCCAAAAGAAGAGTGTCTCAAAAGTGCTCTATCAATAGAAATGTTCAGCACAGTTAGTTGAGTAGATACAGCATAAACATGTTTCTGAGATTACTTCTATCTCGCATTCATGGGAAGATATTTCCTTTTTCCACATAGGCTACAAAGCCCTCCAAATGTCCACTTCCAGATACTACAAATAGAGTGCTGCACAACTGCTCTATGTGAGGGGATGTTCAATTCTGTGACTTGAATGCAGACACCACAAAGAAGTTTCTGAGAATGCTGCTGTCTAATTTTTACATGTAAGCCCGTTTCCAACGAAATCCTCAAAGCTATCCAAATATCCGCATGCAGAATCTTCAAAAAGAGTGTTCCAGAAGTACTGCATGAAACGAAAGGTTCAAGTCCGTTTGTTGAGGACACACATCACAAATAAGTTTCTCAGAATGCTTCTGTCTTGTTTTCATTGGAAGATATTTCCTTTTTCACCATAGTTCAGAAAGCGCTCCAAATGTCCACTTCCAGATACTCCAAAAAGAGTGTTTCCAACCTGCTCTATGAATGGGAATGTTCCACTCTGTGACTTGAATGGAAATATGGCAAAGTATTTTCTGAGTATGCTGCTGTGTACGTTTTATATTGCATCCCGTTTCCAACGAAATCCTCAAAGCGATCCAAATATCCACTTGCAGATTCCAAAAAAAGAGTGTTTCAAACTGCTCTGTCAGTACAAAGGTTCAACACTGTTAGTTGATTAGATGCATCATAAACAAGTTCCTGAGATAGCTTCTATCTCGCATTCATGGGAAGATATTTCCTTTTTCCACATAGGCTACAAAGCCCTCCAAATGTCCACTTCCAGATACTACAAAAAGAGTGTTTCCAACCTGCTCTATGAAACGGAAGGTTCAACTCTGTGACTTGATTGCAAACATCACGAAGGTGTTTCTGAGAATGCTTCTGTCTAGATTTTCTTTGAAGACATTACCGTTTCCAACGAAATCCTCAAAGCTAGCCAAATATCCACCTGCAGATTCTACAAAAAGAGTGTTTCAAAAGTGCTCTGTCCAAACCAAGGTTCAATTCTGACAGTTGAGTGCACACATCACAAACGTGATTCTGCGAATGCTTCTGTCTAGTTTTTGTCGGAAGATATTTCCTTTTTCAACATAGGCCCCAAGGAGCTCAAAATGTCCACTGCCAGATAGTACGAGAAGATTGTTTCAAACCTGCTCTGTGAAAGGGAATGTTCAACTCTGTGACTTGAATGTAAACATCCCTAAGATGTTTCTTAGAATGCTTCTGGCTAGATTTGATTTGAAGATATTCCCGTTTCCAACGAAATCCTCAAAGCTTTCCAAATATCCACTTCCAGATTCTATAAAAAGAATGTTTCAGAACAGTTCTGTCAAAAGAAAGGTTCAACTCTGTTAGTGGAGAACACACATCACAATCAAGGTTCTGAGAATGCTTCTGTCTAAATTTTCTATGAAGACATTCCCGTTTCCAACGAAATCCTCACAGCTATCCAAATATCCACTTGCAGATTCTACAAAAAGTGTGGTTCAAAACTGCTGTATCAAAAGAATGGATCAACACTGTTAGTTGAGTACCCACATCACAAACGTGATTCTCAGAATGCTTCTGTCTAGTTTCTATAGGTAGATATTTCCTTTTTCAGCATAGGCCTGAAAGCGCTCCAAATGCCCGCTTCCAGACACTATAAAAAGAGGGTTTCAAAACTACTCTATGAAAGGGAATGTTCAACTCTGGGAGCTAGATGCAAACATCACAAAGAAGTTTCTGAGAATGCTGCTGTCTACTTTTGATATATAATCCCGTTTCCAACGAAATCCTCAAATCTATCCAAATATCCACTTGCAGATTCCAAAAGAAGAGTGTCTCAAAACTGCTCTATCAATAGAAATGTTCAGCACAGTTAGTTGAGTACATACAGCATAAACATGTTTCTGAGATTACTTCTATCTCGCATTCATGGGAAGATATTTCCTTTTTCCAGATAGGCTACAAAGCCCTCCAAATGTCCACTTCCAGATACTATAAATAGAGTGCTGCACAACTGCTCTATGTGAGGGGAAGTTCAATTCTGTGACTTGAATGCAGACACCACAAAGAAGTTTCTGAGAATGCTGCTGTCTAATTTTTACATGTAAGCCCGTTTCCAACGAAATCCTCAAAGCTATCCAAATATCCGCATGCAGAATCTTCAAAAAGAGTGTTCCAGAAGTACTGCATGAAACGAAAGGTTCAAGTCCGTTTGTTGAGGACACACATCACAAATAAGTTTCTCAGAATGCTTCTGTCTTGTTTTCATTGGAAGATATTTCCTTTTTCACCATAGTTCAGAAAGCGCTCCAAATGTCCACTTCCAGATACTCCAAAAAGAGTGTTTCCAACCTGCTCTATGAATGGGAATGTTCCACTCTGTGACTTGAATGGAAATATGGCAAAGTATTTTCTGAGTATGCTGCTGTGTACGTTTTATATTGCATCCCGTTTCCAACGAAATCCTCAAAGCGATCCAAATATCCACTTGCAGATTCCAAAAAAAGAGTGTTTCAAACTGCTCTGTCAGTACAAAGGTTCAACACTGTTAGTTGATTAGATGCATCATAAACAAGTTCCTGATATAGATTCTATGTCGTTTTTATGGGAAGATATTTCCTTTTTCACCATAGGCCTGAAAGCGCTCCAAATGTCCACTTCCAGATACTACAAAAAGAGTGTTTCCAACCTGCTCTATGAAACGGAAGGTTCAACTCTGTGACTTGATTGCAAACATCACGAAGGTGTTTCTGAGAATGTTTCTGTCTAGATTTTCTTTGAAGACATTACCGTTTCCAACGAAATCCTCAAAGCTAGCCAAATATCCACCTGCAGATTCTTCAAAAAGAGTGTTTCAAAAGTGCTCTGTCCAAACAAAGGTTCAATTCTGACAGTTGAGTGCACACATCACAAACTTGATTCTGCGAATGCTTCTGTCTAGTTTTTGTCGGAAGATATTTCCTTTTTCAGCATAGGCCCCAAGGAGCTCAAAATGTCCACTTCCAGATAGTACGAGAAGATTGTTTCAAACCTGCTCTGTGAAAGGGAATGTTCAACTCTGTGACTTGAATGTAAACATCCCTAAGATGTTTCTTAGAATGCTTCTGGCTAGATTTGATTTGAAGATATTCCCGTTTCCAACGAAATCCTCAAAGCTTTCCAAATATCCACTTCCAGATTCTATAAAAAGAATGTTTCAGAACAGTTCTGTCAAAAGAAAGGTTCAACTGCTGTTAGTGGAGAACACACATCACAATCAAGGTTCTGAGAATGCTTCTGTCTAAATTTTCTATGAAGACATTCCCGTTTCCAACGAAATCGTCACAGCTATCCAAATATCCACTTGCAGATTCTACAAAAAGTGTGGTTCAAAACTGCTGTATCAAAAGAATGGATCAACACTGTTAGTTGAGTACCCACATCACAAACGTGATTCTCAGAATGCTTCTGTCTAGTTTCTATAGGTAGATATTTCCTTTTTCAGCATAGGCCTGAAAGCGCTCCAAATGCCCGCTTCCAGACACTATAAAAAGAGGGTTTCAAACCTACTCTATGAAAGGGAATGTTCAACTCTGAGAGCTGGATGCAAACATCACAAAGAAGTTTCTGAGAATGCTGCTGTCTACTTTTTATATATAATCCCGTTTCCAACGAAATCCTCAAATCTATCCAAATATCCACTTGCAGATTCCAAAAGAAGAGTGTCTCAAAACTGCTCTATCAATAGAAATGTTCAGCACAGTTAGTTGAGTAGATACAGCATAAACATGTTTCTGAGATTACTTCTATCTCGCATTCATGGGAAGATATTTCCTTTTTCCAGATAGGCTACAAAGCCCTCCAAATGTCCACTTCCAGATACTACAAATAGAGTGCTGCACAACTGCTCTATATGAGGGGAAGTTCAATTCTGTGACTTGAATGCAGACACCACAAAGAAGTTTCTGAGAATTCTGCTGTCTAATTTTTACATGTAAGCCCGTTTCCAACGAAATCCTCAAAGCTATCCAAATATCCGCATGCAGAATCTTCAAAAAGAGTGTTCCAGAAGTACTGCATGAAACGAAAGGTTCAAGTCCGTTTGTTGAGGACACACATCACAAATAAGTTTCTCAGAATGCTTCTGTCTTGTTTTCATTGGAAGATATTTCCTTTTTCACCATAGTTCAGAAAGCGCTCCAAATGTCCACTTCCAGATACTCCAAAAAGAGTGTTTCCAACCTGCTCTATGAATGGGAATGTTCCACTCTGTGACTTGAATGGAAATATGGCAAAGAATTTTCTGAGTATGCTGCTGTGTACGTTTTATATTGCATCCCGTTTCCAACGAAATCCTCAAAGCGATCCAAATATCCACTTGCAGATTCCAAAAAAAGAGTGTTTCAAACTGCTCTGTCAGTACAAAGGTTCAACACTGTTAGTTGATTAGATGCCTCATAAACAAGTTCCTGAGATAGCTTCTATGTTGTTTTTATGGGAAGATATTTCCTTTTTCACCATAGGCCTGAAAGCGCTCCAAATGTCCACTTCCAGATACTACAATAAGAGTGTTTCCAACCTGCTCTATGAAACGGAAGGTTCAACTCTGTGACTTGATTGCAAACATCACGAAGGTGTTTCTGAGAATGTTTCTGTCTAGATTTTCTTTGAAGACATTCCCGTTTCCAACGAAATCCTCACAGCTATCCAAATATCCTCTTGCAGATTCTACAAAAAGTGTGGTTCAAAACTGCTGTATCAAAAGAATGGATCAACACTGTTAGTTGAGTACCCACATCACAAACGTGATTCTCAGAATGCTTCTGTCTAGTTTCTGTAGGTAGATATTTCCTATTTTAAGCATAGGCCTGAAAGCGCTCCAAATGCCCGCTTCCAGACACTATAAAAAGAGGGTTTCAAACCTACTCTATGAAAGGGAATGTTCAACTCTGAGAGCTGGATGCAAACATCACAAAGAAGTTTCTGAGAATGCTGCTGTCTACTTTTTATATATAATCCCGTTTCCAACGAAATCCTCAAATCTATCCAAATATCCACTTGCAGATTCCAAAAGAAGAGTGTCTCAAAACTGCTCTATCAATAGAAATGTTCAGCACAGTTAGTTGAGTAGATACAGCATAAACATGTTTCTGAGATTACTTCTATCTCGCATTCATGGGAAGATATTTCCTTTTTCCAGATAGGCTACAAAGCCCTCCAAATGTCCACTTCCAGATACTACAAATAGAGTGCTGCACAACTGCTCTATGTGAGGGGAAGTTCAATTCTGTGACTTGAATGCAGACACCACAAAGAAGTTTCTGAGAATGCTGCTGTCTAATTTTTACATGTAAGCCCGTTTCCAACGAAATCCTCAAAGCTATCCAAATATCCGCATGCAGAATCTTCAAAAAGAGTGTTCCAGAAGTACTGCATGAAACGAAAGGTTCAAGTCCGTTTGTTGAGGACACACATCACAAATAAGTTTCTCAGAATGCTTCTGTCTTGTTTTCATTGGAAGATATTTCCTTTTTCACCATAGTTCAGAAAGCGCTCCAAATGTCCACTTCCAGATACTACAAAAAGAGTGTGTCAAACCTGCTCTATGAATGGGAATGTTCCACTCTGTGACTTGAATGGAAATATGGCAACGTATTTTCTGAGTATGCTGCTGTGTACGTTTTATATTGCATCCCGTTTCCAACGAAATCCTCAAAGCGATCCAAATATCCACTTGCAGATTCCAAAAAAAAAGAGTGTTTCACACTGCTCTGTCAGTACAAAGGTTCAACACTGTTAGTTGATTGGATGCATCATAAACAAGTTCCTGAGATAGCTTCTATGTCGTTTTTATGGGAAGATATTTCCGTTTTCACCATAGGCCTGAAAGCGCTCCAAATGTCCACTTCCAGATACTACAAAAAGAGTGTTTCCAACCTGCTCTATGAAACGGAAGGTTCAACTCTGTGACTTGATTGCAAACATCACGAAGGTGTTTCTGAGAATCTTTCTGTCTAGATTTTCTTTGAAGACATTACCGTTTCCAACGAAATCCTCAAAGCTAGCCAAATATCCACCTGCAGATTCTACAAAAAGAGTGTTTCAAAAGTGCTCTGTCCAAACCAAGGTTCAATTCTGACAGTTGAGTGCACACATCACAAACGTGATTCTGCGAATGCTTCTGTCTAGTTTTTGTCGGAAGATATTTCCTTTTTCAGCATAGGCCCCAAGGAGCTCAAAATGTCCACTGCCAGATAGTACGAGAAGATTGTTTCAAACCTGCTCTGTGAAAGGGAATGTTCAACTCTGTGACTTGAATGTAAACATCCCTAAGATGTTTCTTAGAATGCTTCTGGCTAGATTTTATTTGAAGATATTCCCGTTTCCAACGAAATCCTCAAAGCTTTCCAAATATCCACTTCCAGATTCTATAAAAAGAATGTTTCAGAACAGTTCTGTCAAAAGAAAGGTTCAACTCTGTTAGTGGAGAACACACATCACAATCAAGGTTCTGAGAATGCTTCTGTCTAAATTTTCTATGAAGACATTCCCGTTTCCAACGAAATCCTCACAGCTATCCAAATATCCACTTGCAGATTCTACAAAAAGTGTGGTTCAAAACTGCTGTATCAAAAGAATGGATCAACACTGTTAGTTGAGTACCCACATCACAAACGTGATTCTCAGAATGCTTCTGTCTAGTTTCTATAGGTAGATATTTCCTTTTTCAGCATAGGCCTGAAAGCGCTCCAAATGCCCGCTTCCAGACACTATAAAAAGAGGGTTTCAAACCTACTCTATGAAAGGGAATGTTCAACTCTGAGAGCTGGATGCAAACATCACAAAGAAGTTTCTGAGAATGCTGCTGTCTACTTTTTATATATAATCCCGTTTCCAACGAAATCCTCAAATCTATCCAAATATCCACTTGCAGATTCCAAAAGAAGAGTGTCTCAAAACTGCTCTATCAATAGAAATGTTCAGCACAGTTAGTTGAGTAGATACAGCATAAACATGTTTCTGAGATTACTTCTATCTCGCATTCATGGGAAGATATTTCCTTTTTCCAGATAGGCTACAAAGCCCTCCAAATGTCCACTTCCAGATACTACAAATAGAGTGCTGCACAACTGCTCTATGTGAGGGGAAGTTCAATTCTGTGACTTGAATGCAGACACCACAAAGAAGTTTCTGAGAATGCTGCTGTCTAATTTTTATATGTAAGCCCGTTTCCAACGAAATCCTCAAAGCTATCCAAATATCCGCATGCAGAATCTTCAAAAAGAGTGTTCCAGAAGTACTGCATGAAACCAAAGCTTCGAGTCCGTTAGTTGAGGACACGCATCACAAATAAGTTTCTCAGAATGCTTCTGTCTTGTTTTCATTGGAACATATTTCCTTTTTCACCATAGTTCAGAAAGCGCTCCAAATGTCCACTTCCAGATACTCCAAAAAGAGTGTTTCAAACCTGCTCTATGAATGGGAATGTTCCACTCTGTGACTTGAATGGAAATATGGCAAAGTATTTTCTGAGTATGCTGCTGTGTACGTTTTATATTGCATCCCGTTTCCAACGAAATCCTCAAAGCGATCCAAATATCCACTTGCAGATTCCAAAAAAAGAGTGTTTCAAACTGCTCTGTCAGTACAAAGGTTCAACACTGTTAGTTGATTAGATGCATCATAAACAAGTTCCTGATATAGATTCTATGTCGTTTTTATGGGAAGATATTTCCTTTTTCACCAGAGGCCTGAAAGCGCTCCAAATGTCCACTTCCAGATACTACAAAAAGAGTGTTTCCAACCTGCTCTATGAAACGGAAGGTTCAACTCTGTGACTTGATTGCAAACATCACGAAGGTGTTTCTGAGAATGTTTCTGTCTAGATTTTCTTTGAAGACATTACCGTTTCCAACGAAATCCTCAAAGCTAGCCAAATATCCACCTGCAGATTCTACAAAAAGAGTGTTTCAAAAGTGCTCTGTCCAAACCAAGGTTCAATTCTGACAGTTGAGTGCACACATCACAAACGTGATTCTGCGAATGCTTCTGTCTAGTTTTTGTCGGAAGATATTTCCTTTTTCAGCATAGGCCCCAAGGAGCTCAAAATGTCCACTGCCAGATAGTACGAGAAGATTGTTTCAAACCTGCTCTGTGAAAGGGAATGTTCAACTCTGTGACTTGAATGTAAACATCCCTAAGATGTTTCTTAGAATGCTTCTGGCTAGATTTGATTTGAAGATATTCCCGTTTCCAACGAAATCCTCAAAGCTTTCCAAATATCCACTTCCAGATTCTATAAAAAGAATGTTTCAGAACAGTTCTGTCAAAAGAAAGTTTCAACTCTGTTAGTGGAGAACACACATCACAATCAAGGTTCTGAGAATGCTTCTGTCTAAATTTTCTATGAAGACATTCCCGTTTCCAACGAAATCCTCACAGCTATCCAAATATCCACTTGCAGATTCTACAAAAAGTGTGGTTCAAAACTGCTGTATCAAAAGAATGGATCAACACTGTTAGTTGAGTACCCACATCACAAACGTGATTCTCAGAATGCTTCTGTCTAGTTTCTATAGGTAGATATCTCCTTTTTCAGCATAGGCCTGAAAGCGCTCCAAATGCCCGCTTCCAGACACTATAAAAAGAGGGTTTCAAACCTACTCTATGAAAGGGAATGTTCAACTCTGAGAGCTGGATGCAAACATCACAAAGAAGTTTGCTGAGAATGCTGCTGTCTACTTTTTATATATAATCCCGTTTCCAACGAAATCCTCAAATCTATCCAAATATCCACTTGCAGATTCCAAAAGAAGAGGGTCTCAAAACTGCTCTATCAATAGAAATGTTCAGCACAGTTAGTTGAGTAGATACAGCATAAACATGTTTCTGAGATTACTTCTATCTCGCATTCATGGGAAGATATTTCCTTTTTCCAGATAGGCTACAAAGCCCTCCAAATGTCCACTTCCAGATACTACAAATAGAGTGCTGCACAACTGCTCTATGTGAGGGGAAGTTCAATTCTGTGACTTGAATGCAGACACCACAAAGAAGTTTCTGAGAATGCTGCTGTCTAATTTTTACATGTAAGCCCGTTTCCAACGAAATCCTCAAAGCTATCCAAATATCCGCATGCAGAATCTTCAAAAAGAGTGTTCCAGAAGTACTGCATGAAACGAAAGGTTCAAGTCCGTTTGTTGAGGACACACATCACAAATAAGTTTCTCAGAATGCTTCTGTCTTGTTTTCATTGGAAGATATTTCCTTTTTCACCATAGTTCAGAAAGCGCTCCAAATGTCCACTTCCAGATACTCCAAAAAGAGTGTTTCAAACCTGCTCTATGAATGGGAATGTTCCACTCTGTGACTTGAATGGAAATATGGCAAAGAATTTTCTGAGTATGCTGCTGTGTACGTTTTATATTGCATCCCGTTTCCAACGAAATCCTCAAAGCGATCCAAATATCCACTTGCAGATTCCAAAAAAAGAGTGTTTCAAACTGCTCTGTCAGTACAAAGGTTCAACACTGTTAGTTGATTAGATGCCTCATAAACAAGTTCCTGAGATAGCTTCTATCTCGCATTCATGGGAAGATATTTCCTTTTTCCAGATAGGCTACAAAGCCCTCCAAATGTCCACTTCCAGATACTACAAAAAGAGTGTTTCCAACCTGCTCTATGAAACGGAAGGTTCAACTCTGTGACTTGATTGCAAACATCACGAAGGTGTTTCTGAGAATGCTTCTGTCTAGATTTTCTTTGAAGACATTACCGTTTCCAACGAAATCCTCAAAGCTAGCCAAATGTCCACCTGCAGATTCTACAAAAAGAGTGTTTCAAAAGTGCTCTGTCCAAACAAAGTGTTCAATTCTGACCAGTTGAGTGCACACATCACAAACGTGATTCTGCGATATGCTTCTGTCTAGTTTTTGTCGGAAGATATTTCCTTTTTCAGCATAGGCCCCAAGGAGCTCAAAATGTCCACTGCCAGATAGTACGAGAAGATTGTTTCAAACCTGCTCTGTGAAAGGGAATGTTCAACTCTGTGACTTGAATGTAAACATCCCTAAGATGTTTCTTAGAATGCTTCTGGCTAGATTTGATTTGAAGATATTCCCGTTTCAAACGAAGTCCTCAAAGCTTTCCAAATATGCACTTCCAGATTCTATACAAAGAATGTTTCAGAACAGTTCTGTCAAAAGAAAGGTTCAACCCTGTTAGTGGAGAACACACATCACAATCAAGGTTCTGAGAATGCTTCTGTCTAAATTTTCTATGAAGACATTCCCGTTTCCAAGGAAATCCTCACAGCTATCCAAATATCCACTTGCAGATTCTACAAAAAGTGTGGTTCAAAACTGCTGTATCAAAAGAATGGATCAACACTGTTAGTTGAGTACCCACATCACAAACGTGATTCTCAGAATGCTTCTGTCTAGTTTCTATAGGTAGATATTTCCTTTTTCAGCATAGGCCTGAAAGCGCTCCAAATGCCCGCTTCCAGACACTATAAAAAGAGGGTTTCAAACCTACTCCACGAAAGGGAATGTTCAACTCTGAGAGCTGGATGCAAAACTCACAAAGAAGTTTCTGAGAATGCTGCTGTCTACTTTTGATATATAATCACGTTTCCAAGGAAATCCTCAAATCTATCCAAATATCCACTTGCAGATTCCAACAGGAGAGTGTCTCAAAACTGCTCTATCAATAGAAATGTTCAGCACAGTTAGTTGAGTAGATACAGCATAAACATGTTTCTGAGATTACTTCTATCTCACATTCATGGGAAGATATTTCCTTTTTCCAGATAGGCTACAAAGCCCTCCAAATGTCCACTTCGAGATACTACAAATAGAGTGCTGCACAACTGCTCTAAGTGAGGGGATGTTCAATTCTGTGACTTGAATGCAGACACCACAAAGAAGTTTCTGAGAATGCTTGCTGTCTAATTTTTACATGTAAGCCCGTTTCCAACGAAATCCTCAAAGCTATCCAAATATCCGCATGCAGAATCTTCAAAAAGAGTGTTCCAGAAGTACTGCATGAAACGAAAGGTTCAAGTCCGTTTGTTGAGGACACACATCACAAATAAGTTTCTCAGAATGCTTCTGTCTTGTTTTCATTGGAAGATATTTCCTTTTTCACCATAGTTCAGAAAGCGCTCCAAATGTCCACTTCCAGATACTCCAAAAAGAGTGTTTCCAACCTGCTCTATGAATGGGAATGTTCCACTCTGTGACTTGAATGGAAATATGGCAAAGAATTTTCTGAGTATGCTGCTGTGTACGTTTTATATTGCATCCCGTTTCCAACGAAATCCTCAAAGCGATCCAAATATCCACTTGCAGATTCCAAAAAAAGAGTGTTTCAAACTGCTCTGTCAGTACAAAGGTTCAACACTGTTAGTTGATTAGATGCCTCATAAACAAGTTCCTGAGATAGCTTCTATGTCGTTTTTATGGGAAGATATTTCCTTTTTCACCATAGGCCTGAAAGCGCTCCAAATGTCCACTTCCAGATACTACAATAAGAGTGTTTCCAACCTGCTCTATGAAACGGAAGGTTCAACTCTGTGACTTGATTGCAAACATCACGAAGGTGTTTCTGAGAATGCTTCTGTCTAGATTTTCTTTGAAGACATTACCGTTTCCAACGAAATCCTCAAAGCTAGCCAAATATCCACCTGCAGATTCTACAAAAAGAGTGTTTCAAAAGTGCTCTGTCCAAACCAAGGTTCAATTCTGACAGTTGAGTGCACACATCACAAACGTGATTCTGCGAATGCTTCTGTCTAGTTTTTGTCGGAAGATATTTCCTTTTTCAGCATAGGCCCCAAGGAGCTCAAAATGTCCACTGCCAGATAGTACGAGAAGATTGTTTCAAACCTGCTCTGTGAAAGGGAATGTTCAACTCTGTGACTTGAATGTAAACATCCCTAAGATGTTTCTTAGAATGCTTCTGGCTAGATTTTATTTGAAGATATTCCCGTTTCCAACGAAATCCTCAAAGCTTTCCAAATATCCACTTCCAGATTCTATAAAAAGAATGTTTCAGAACAGTTCTGTCAAAAGAAAGGTTCAACTCTGTTAGTGGAGAACACACATCACAATCAAGGTTCTGAGAATGCTTCTGTCTAAATTTTCTATGAAGACATTCCCGTTTCCAACGAAATCCTCACAGCTATCCAAATATCCACTTGCAGATTCTACAAAAAGTGTGGTTCAAAACTGCTGTATCAAAAGAATGGATCAACACTGTTAGTTGAGTACCCACATCACAAACGTGATTCTCAGAATGCTTCTGTCTAGTTTCTGTAGGTAGATATTTCCTATTTTAAGCATAGGCCTGAAAGCGCTCCAAATGCCCGCTTCCAGACACTATAAAAAGAGGGTTTCAAACCTACTCTATGAAAGGGAATGCTCAACTCTGAGAGCTGGATGCAAACATCACAAAGAAGTTTCTGAGAATGCTGCTGTCTACTTTTTATATATAATCCCGTTGCCAACGAAATCCTCAAATCTATCCAAATATCCACTTGCAGATTCCAAAAGAAGAGTGTCTCAAAACTGCTCTATCAATAGAAATGTTCAGCACAGTTAGTTGAGTAGATACAGCATAAACATGTTTCTGAGATTACTTCTATCTCGCATTCATGGGAAGATATTTCCTTTTTCCAGATAGGCTACAAAGCCCTCCAAATGTCCACTTCGAGATACTACAAATAGAGTGCTGCACAACTGCTCTATGTGAGGGGATGTTCAATTCTGTGACTTGAATGCAGACACCACAAAGAAGTTTCTGAGAATGCTGCTGTCTAATTTTTACATATAAGCCCGTTTCCAACGAAATCCTCAAAGCTATCCAAATATCCGCATGCAGAATCTTCAAAAAGAGTGTTCCAGAAGTACTGCATGAAACGAAAGGTTCAAGTCCGTTTGTTGAGGACACACATCACAAATAAGTTTCTCAGAATGCTTCTGTCTTGTTTTCATTGGAAGATATTTCCTTTTTCACCATAGTTCAGAAAGCGCTCCAAATGTCCACTTCCAGATACTCCAAAAAGAGTGTTTCCAACCTGCTCTATGAATGGGAATGTTCCACTCTGTGACTTGAATGGAAATATGGCAAAGTATTTTCTGAGTATGCTGCTGTGTACGTTTTATATTGCATCCCGTTTCCAACGAAATCCTCAAAGCGATCCAAATATCCACTTGCAGATTCCAAAAAAAGAGTGTTTCAAACTGCTCTGTCAGTACAAAGGTTCAACACTGTTAGTTGATTAGATGCATCATAAACAAGTTCCTGAGATAGCTTCTATCTCGCATTCATGGGAAGATATTTCCTTTTTCCACATAGGCTACAAAGCCCTCCAAATGTCCACTTCCAGATACTACAAAAAGAGTGTTTCCAACCTGCTCTATGAAACGGAAGGTTCAACTCTGTGACTTGATTGCAAACATCACGAAGGTGTTTCTGAGAATGCTTCTGTCTAGATTTTCTTTGAAGACATTACCGTTTCCAACGAAATCCTCAAAGCTAGCCAAATATCCACCTGCAGATTCTACAAAAAGAGTGTTTCAAAAGTGCTCTGTCCAAACCAAGGTTCAATTCTGACAGTTGAGTGCACACATCACAAACGTGATTCTGCGAATGCTTCTGTCTAGTTTTTGTCGGAAGATATTTCCTTTTTCAGCATAGGCCCCAAGGAGCTCAAAATGTCCACTTCCAGATACTACGAGAAGATTGTTTCAAACCTGCTCTGTGAAAGGGAATGTTCAACTCTGTGACTTGAATGTAAACATCCCTAAGATGTTTCTTAGAATGCTTCTGGCTAGATTTGATTTGAAGATATTCCCGTTTCCAACGAAATCCTCAAAGCTTTCCAAATATCCACTTCCAGATTCTATACAAAGAATGTTTCAGAACAGTTCTGTCAAAAGAAAGGTTCATCCCTGTTAGTGGAGAACACACATCACAATCAAGGTTCTGAGAATGCTTCTGTCTAAATTTTCTATGAACACATTCCCGTTTCCAAGGAAATCCTCACAGCTATCCAAATATCCACTTGCAGATTCTACAAAAAGTGTGGTTCAAAACTGCTGTATCAAAAGAATGGATCAACACTGTTAGTTGAGTACCCACATCACAAACGTGATTCTCAGAATGCTTCTGTCTAGTTTCTATAGGTAGATATTTCCTTTTTCAGCATAGGCCTGAAAGCGCTCCAAATGCCCACTTCCACACACTATAAAAAGAGGGTTTCAAACCTTCTCTATGAAAGGGAATGTTCAACTCTGAGAGCTGGATGCAAACATCACAAAGAAGTTTCTGAGAATGCGGCTGTCTACTTTTTATATATAATCCCGTTTCCAACGAAATCCTCAAATCTATCCAAATATCCACTTGCAGATTCCAAAAGAAAAGTGTCTCAAAACTGCTCTATCAATAGAAATGTTCAGCACAGTTAGTTGAGTAGGTACAGCATAAACATGTTTCTGAGATTACTTCTATCTCGCATTCATGGGAAGATATTTCCTTTTTCCACATAGGCTACAAAGCCCTCCAAATGTCCACTTCCAGATACTACAAATAGAGTGCTGCACAACTGCTCTATGTGAGGGGATGTTCAATTCTGTGACTTGAATGCAGACACCACAAAGAAGTTTCTGAGAATGCTGCTGTCTAATTTTTACATGTAAGCCCGTTTCCAACGAAATCCTCAAAGCTATCCAAATATCCGCATGCAGAATCTTCAAAAAGAGTGTTCCAGAAGTACTGCATGAAACGAAAGGTTCAAGTCCGTTTGTTGAGGACACACATCACAAATAAGTTTCTCAGAATGCTTCTGTCTTGTTTTCATTGGAAGATATTTCCTTTTTCACCATAGTTCAGAAAGCGCTCCAAATGTCCACTTCCAGATACTCCAAAAAGAGTGTTTCCAACCTGCTCTATGAATGGGAATGTTCCACTCTGTGACTTGAATGTAAATATGGCAAAGAATTTTCTGAGTATGCTGCTGTGTACGTTTTATATTGCATCCCGTTTCCAACGAAATCCTCAAAGCGATCCAAATATCCACTTGCAGATTCCAAAAAAAGAGTGTTTCAAACTGCTCTGTCAGTACAAAGGTTCAACACTGTTAGTTGATTAGATGCCTCATAAACAAGTTCCTGAGATAGCTTCTATGTTGTTTTTATGGGAAGATATTTCCTTTTTCACCATAGGCCTGAAAGCGCTCCAAATGTCCACTTCCAGATACTACAATAAGAGTGTTTCCAACCTGCTCTATGAAACGGAAGGTTCAACTCTGTGACTTGATTGCAAACATCACGAAGGTGTTTCTGAGAATGTTTCTGTCTAGATTTTCTTTGAAGACATTCCCGTTTCCAACGAAATCCTCACAGCTATCCAAATATCCTCTTGCAGATTCTACAAAAAGTGTGGTTCAAAACTGCTGTATCAAAAGAATGGATCAACACTGTTAGTTGAGTACCCACATCACAAACGTGATTCTCAGAATGCTTCTGTCTAGTTTCTGTAGGTAGATATTTCCTATTTTAAGCATAGGCCTGAAAGCGCTCCAAATGCCCGCTTCCAGACACTATAAAAAGAGGGTTTCAAACCTACTCTATGAAAGGGAATGTTCAACTCTGAGAGCTGGATGCAAACATCACAAAGAAGTTTCTGAGAATGCTGCTGTCTACTTTTGATATATAATCCCGTTTCCAACGAAATCCTCAAATCTATCCAAATATCCACTTGCAGATTCCAAAAGAAGAGTGTCTCAAAACTGCTCTATCAATAGAAATGTTCAGCACAGTTAGTTGAGTAGATACAGCATAAACATGTTTCTGAGATTACTTCTATCTCGCATTCATGGGAAGATATTTCCTTTTTCCAGATAGGCTACAAAGCCCTCCAAATGTCCACTTCCAGATACTACAAATAGAGTGCTGCACAACTGCTCTATGTGAGGGGAAGTTCAATTCTGTGACTTGAATGCAGACACCACAAAGAAGTTTCTGAGAATGCTGCTGTCTAATTTTTACATGTAAGCCCGTTTCCAACGAAATCCTCAAAGCAATCCAAATATCCGCATGCAGAATCTTCAAAAAGAGTGTTCCAGAAGTACTGCATGAAACGAAAGGTTCAAGTCCGTTTGTTGAGGACACACATCACAAATAAGTTTCTCAGAATGCTTCTGTCTTGTTTTCATTGGAAGATATTTCCTTTTCCACCATAGTTCAGAAAGCGCTCCAAATGTCCACTTCCAGATACTCCAAAAAGAGTGTTTCCAACCTGCTCTATGAATGGGAATGTTCCACTCTGTGACTTGAATGGAAATATGGCAAAGTACTTTCTGAGTATGCTGCTGTGTACGTTTTATATTGCATCCCGTTTCCAACGAAATCCTCAAAGCGATCCAAATATCCACTTGCAGATTCCAAAAAAAGAGTGTTTCAAACTGCTCTGTCAGTACAAAGGTTCAACACTGTTAGTTGATTAGATGCATCATAAACAAGTTCCTGAGATAGCTTCTATGTCGTTTTTATGGGAAGATATTTCCTTTTTCACCATAGGCCTGAAAGTGCTCCAAATGTCCACTTCCAGATACTACAAAAAGAGTGTTTCCAACCTGCTCTATGAAACGGAAGGTTCAACTCTGTGACTTGATTGCAAACATCACGAAGGTGTTTCTGAGAATGCTTCTGTCTAGATTTTCTTTGAAGACATTACCGTTTCCAACGAAATCCTCAAAGCTAGCCAAATATCCACCTGCAGATTCTACAAAAAGAGTGTTTCAAAAGTGCTCTGTCCAAACCAAGGTTCAATTCTGACAGTTGAGTGCACACATCACAAACGTGATTCTGCGAATGCTTCTGTCTAGTTTTTGTCGGAAGATATTTCCTTTTTCAGCATAGGCCCCAAGGAGCTCAAAATGTCCACTGCCAGATAGTACGAGAAGATTGTTTCAAACCTGCTCTGTGAAAGGGAATGTTCAACTCTGTGACTTGAATGTAAACATCCCTAAGATGTTTCTTAGAATGCTCTGGCTAGATTTTATTTGAAGATATTCCCGGTTTCCAACGAAATCCTCAAAGCTTTCCAAATATCCACTTCCAGATTCTATAAAAAGAATGTTTCAAAACAGTTCTGTCAAAAGAAAGGTTCAACTCTGTTAGTGGAGAACACACATCACAATCAAGGTTCTGAGAATGCTTTCTGTCTAAATTTTCTATGAAGACATTCCCGTTTCCAACGAAATCCTCACAGCTATCCAAATATCCACTTGCAGATTCTACAAAAAGTGTGGTTCAAAACTGCTGTATCAAAAGAATGGATCAACACTGTTAGTTGAGTACCCACATCACAAACGTGATTCTCAGAATGCTTCTGTCTAGTTTCTGTAGGTAGATATTTCCTATTTTAAGCATAGGCCTGAAAGCGCTCCAAATGCCCGCTTCCAGACACTATAAAAAGAGGGTTTCAAACCTACTCTATGAAAGGGAATGTTCAACTCTGAGAGCTGGATGCAAACATCACAAAGAAGTTTCTGAGAATGCTGCTGTCTACTTTTGATATATAATCCCGTTTCCAACGAAATCCTCAAATCTATCCAAATATCCACTTGCAGATTCCAAAAGAAGAGTGTCTCAAAACTGCTCTATCAACAGAAATGTTCAGCACAGTTAGTTGAGTAGATACAGCATAAACATGTTTCTGAGATTACTTCTATCTCGCATTCATGGGAAGATATTTCCTTTTTCCAGATAGGCTACAAAGCCCTCCAAATGTCCACTTCCAGATACTACAAAGAGTGTTTCCAACCTGCTCTATGAAACGGAAGGTTCAACTCTGTGACTTGATTGCAAACATCACGAAGGTGTTTCTGAGAATGCTTCTGTCTAGATTTTCTTTGAAGACATTACCGTTTCCAACGAAATCCTCAAAGCTAGCCAAATATCCACCTGCAGATTCTACAAAAAGAGTGTTTCAAAAGTGCTCTGTCCAAACCAAGGTTCAATTCTGACAGTTGAGTGCACACATCACAAACGTGATTCTGCGAATGCTTCTGTCTAGTTTTTGTCGGAAGATATTTCCTTTTTCAGCATAGGCCCCAAGGAGCTCAAAATGTCCACTGCCAGATAGTACGAGAAGATTGTTTCAAACCTGCTCTGAGAAAGGGGAATGTTCAACTCTGTGACTTGAATGTACACATCCCTAAGATGTTTCTTAGAATGCTTCTGGCTAGATTTTATTTGAAGATATTCCCGTTTCTAACGAAATCCTCAAAGCTTTCCAAATATCCACTTCCAGATTCTATAAAAAGAATGTTTCAAAACAGTTCTGTCAAAAGAAAGGTTCAACTCTGTTAGTGGAGAACACACACCACAATCCAGGTTCTGAGAATGCTTCTGTCTAAATTTTCTATGAAGACATTCCCGTTTCCAACGAAATCCTCACAGCTATCCAAATATCCACTTGCAGATTCTACAAAAAGGGTGGTTCAAAACTGCTGTATCAAAAGAATGGATCAACACTGTTAGTTGAGTACCCACATCACAAACGTGATTCTCAGAATGCTTCTGTCTAGTTTCTGTAGGTAGATATTTCCTTTTTCAGCATAGGCCTGAAAGCGCTCCAAATGCCCGCTTCCAGACACTATAAAAAGGGGGTTTCAAACCTACTCTATGAAAGGGAATGTTCAACTCTGAGAGCTGGATGCAAACATCACAAAGAAGTTTCTGAGAATGCTGCTGTCTACTTTTGATATATAATCCCGTTTCCAACGAAATCCTCAAATCTATCCAAATATCCACTTGCAGATTCCAAAAGAAGAGTGTCTCAAAACTGCTCTATCAATAGAAATGTTCAGCACAGTTAGTTGAGTAGATACAGCATAAACATGTTTCTGAGATTACTTCTATCTCGCATTCATGGGAAGATATTTCCTTTTTCCAGATAGGCTACAAAGCCCTCCAAATGTCCACTTCGAGATACTACAAATAGAGTGCTGCACAACTGCTCTATGTGAGGGGATGTTCAATTCTGTGACTTGAATGCAGACACCACAAAGAAGTTTCTGAGAATGCTGCTGTCTAATTTTTACATGTAAGCCCGTTTCCAACGAAATCCTCAAAGCTATCCAAATATCCGCATGCAGAATCTTCAAAAAGAGTGTTCCAGAAGTACTGCATGAAACGAAAGGTTCAAGTCCGTTTGTTGAGGACACACATCACAAATAAGTTTCTCAGAATGCTTCTGTCTTGTTTTCATTGGAAGATATTTCCTTTTTCACCATAGTTCAGAAAGCGCTCCAAATGTCCACTTCCAGATACTCCAAAAAGACTGTTTCAAACCTGCTCTATGAATGGGAATGTTCCACTGAGTGACTTGAATGGAAATATGGCAAAGTATTTTCTGAATATGCTGCTGTGTACGTTTTATATTGCATCCCGTTTCCAACGAAATCCTCAAAGCGATCCAAATATCCACTTGCAGATTCCAAAAAAAAGAGTGTTTCACACTGCTCTGTCAGTACAAAGGTTCAACACTGTTAGTTGATTGGATGCATCATAAACAAGTTCCTGAGATAGCTTCTATGTCGTTTTTATGGGAAGATATTTCCTTTTTCACCATAGGCCTGAAAGCGCTCCAAATGTCCACTTCCAGATACTACAAAAAGAGTGTTTCCAACCTGCTCTATGAAACGGAAGGTTCAACTCTGTGACTTGATTGCAAACATCACGAAGGTGTTTCTGAGAATGTTTCTGTCTAGATTTTCTTTGAAGACATTACCGTTTCCAACGAAATCCTCAAAGCTAGTCAAATATCCACCTGCAGATTCTACAAAAAGAGTGTTTCAAAAGTGCTCTGTCCAAACAAAGGTTCAATTCCGACAGTTGAGTGCACACATCACAAACGTGATTCTGCGAATGCTTCTGTCTAGTTTTTGTCGGAAGATATTTCCTTTTTCAGCATAGGCCCCAAGGAGCTCAAAATGTCCACTTCCAGATACTACGAGAAGATTGTTTCAAACCTGCTCTGTGAAAGGGAATGTTCAACTCTGTGACTTGAATGTAAACATCCCTAAGATGTTTCTTAGAATGCTTCTGGCTAGATTTGATTTGAAGATATTCCCGTTTCCAACGAAATCCTCAAAGCTTTCCAAATATCCACTTCCAGATTCTATACAAAGAATGTTTCAGAACAGTTCTGTCAAAAGAAAGGTTCAACCCTGTTAGTGGAGAACACACATCACAATCAAGGTTCTGAGAATGCTTCTGTCTAAATTTTCTATGAAGACATTCCCGTTTCCAACGAAATCCTCACAGCTATCCAAATATCCACTTGCAGATTCTACAAAAAGTGTGGTTCAAAACTGCTGTATCAAAAGAATGGATCAACACTGTTAGTTGAGTACCCACATCACAAACGTGATTCTCAGAATGCTTCTGTCTAGTTTCTGTAGGTAGATATTTCCTATTTTAAGCATAGGCCTGAAAGCGCTCCAAATGCCCGCTTCCAGACACTATAAAAAGAGGGTTTCAAACCTACTCTATGAAAGGGAATGCTCAACTCTGAGAGCTGGATGCAAACATCACAAAGAAGTTTCTGAGAATGCTGCTGTCTACTTTTGATATATAATCCCGTTTCCAACGAAATCCTCAAATCTATCCAAATATCCACTTGCAGATTCCAAAAGAAGAGTGTCTCAAAACTGCTCTATCAATAGAAATGTTCAGCACAGTTAGTTGAGTAGATACAGCATAAACATGTTTCTGAGATTACTTCTATCTCGCATTCATGGGAAGATATTTCCTTTTTCCAGATAGGCTACAAAGCCCTCCAAATGTCCACTTCGAGATACTACAAATAGAGTGCTGCACAACTGCTCTATGTGAGGGGAAGTTCAATTCTGTGACTTGAATGCAGACACCACAAAGAAGTTTCTGAGAATGCTGCTGTCTAATTTTTACATGTAAGCCCGTTTCCAACGAAATCCTCAAAGCTATCCAAATATCCGCATGCAGAATCTTCAAAAAGAGTGTTCCAGAAGTACTGCATGAAACGAAAGGTTCAAGTCCCGTTTGTTGAGGACACACATCACAAATAAGTTTCTCAGAATGCTTCTGTCTTGTTTTCATTGGAAGATATTTCCTTTTTCACCATAGTTCAGAAAGCGCTCCAAATGTCCACTTCCAGATACTCCAAAAAGAGTGTTTCAAACCTGCTCTATGAATGGGAATGTTCCACTCTCTGACTTGAATGGAAATATGGCAAAGTATTTTCTGAGTATGCTGCTGTGTACGTTTTATATTGCATCCCGTTTCCAACGAAATCCTCAAAGCGATCCAAATATCCACTTGCAGATTCCAAAAAAAGAGTGTTTCAAACTGCTCTGTCAGTACAAAGGTTCAACACTGTTAGTTGATTAGATGCATCATAAACAAGTTCCTGAGATAGCTTCTATGTTGTTTTTATGGGAAGATATTTCCTTTTTCACCATAGGCCTGAAAGCGCTCCAAATGTCCACTTCCAGATACTACAATAAGAGTGTTTCCAACCTGCTCTATGAAACGGAAGGTTCAACTCTGTGACTTGATTGCAAACATCACGAAGGTGTTTCTGAGAATGTTTCTGTCTAGATTTTCTTTGAAGACATTACCGTTTCCAACGAAATCCTCAAAGCTAGCGAAATATCCACCTGCAGATTCTACAAAAAGAGTGTTTCAAAAGTGCTCTGTCCAAACCAAGGTTCAATTCTGACAGTTGAGTGCACACATCACAAACGTGATTCTGCGAATGCTTCTGTCTAGTTTTTGTCGGAAGATATTTCCTTTTTCAGCATAGGCCCCAAGGAGCTCAAAATGTCCACTGCCAGATAGTACGAGAAGATTGTTTCAAACCTGCTCTGTGAAAGGGAATGTTCAACTCTGTGACTTGAATGTAAACATCCCTAAGATGTTTCTTAGAATGCTTCTGGCTAGATTTGATTTGAAGATATTCCCGTTTCCAACGAAATCCTCAAAGCTTTCCAAATATCCACTTCCAGATTCTATAAAAAGAATGTTTCAGAACAGTTCTGTCAAAAGAAAGGTTCAACTCTGTTAGTGGAGAACACACATCACAATCAAGGTTCTGAGAATGCTTCTGTCTAAATTTTCTATGAAGACATTCCCGTTTCCAACGAAATCCTCACAGCTATCCAAATATCCACTTGCAGATTCTACAAAAAGTGTGGTTCAAAACTGCTGTATCAAAAGAATGGATCAACACTGTTAGTTGAGTACCCACATCACAAACGTGATTCTCAGAATGCTTCTGTCTAGTTTCTATAGGTAGATATTTCCTTTTTCAGCATAGGCCTGAAAGCGCTCCAAATGCCCGCTTCCAGACACTATAAAAAGAGGGTTTCAAACCTACTCTATGAAAGGGAATGTTCAACTCTGAGAGCTGGATGCAAACATCACAAAGAAGTTTCTGAGAATGCTGCTGTCTACTTTTTATATATAATCCCGTTTCCAACGAAATCCTCAAATCTATCCAAATATCCACTTGCAGATTCCAAAAGAAGAGTGTCTCAAAACTGCTCTATCAATAGAAATGTTCAGCACAGTTAGTTGAGTAGATACAGCATAAACATGTTTCTGAGATTACTTCTATCTCGCATTCATGGGAAGATATTTCCTTTTTCCAGATAGGCTACAAAGCCCTCCAAATGTCCACTTCCAGATACTACAAATAGAGTGCTGCACAACTGCTCTATGTGAGGGGAAGTTAAATTCTGTGACTTGAATGCAGACACCACAAAGAAGTTTCTGAGAATGCTGCTGTCTAATTTTTACATGTAAGCCCGTTTCCAACGAAATCCTCAAAGCTATCCAAATATCCGAATGCAGAATCTTCAAAAAGAGTGTTCCAGAAGTACTGCATGAAACGAAAGGTTCAAGTCCGTTTGTTGAGGACACACATCACAAATAAGTTTCTCAGAATGCTTCTGTCTTGTTTTCATTGGAAGATATTTCCTTTTTCACCATAGTTCAGAAAGCGCTCCAAATGTCCACTTCCAGATACTCCAAAAAGAGTGTTTCAAACCTGCTCTATGAATGGGAATGTTCCACTCTGTGACTTGAATGGAAATATGGCAAAGTATTTTCTGAGTATGCTGCTGTGTACGTTTTATATTGCATCCCGTTTCCAACGAAATCCTCAAAGCGATCCAAATATCCACTTGCAGATTCCAAAAAAAGAGTGTTTCAAACTGCTCTGTCAGTACAAAGGTTCAACACTGTTAGTTGATTAGATGCATCATAAACAAGTTCCTGAGATAGCTTCTATCTCGCATTCATGGGAAGATATTTCCTTTTTCCAGATAGGCTACAAAGCCCTCCAAATGTCCACTTCCAGATACTACAAAAAGAGTGTTTCCAACCTGCTCTATGAAACGGAAGGTTCAACTCTGTGACTTGATTGCAAACATCACGAAGGTGTTTCTGAGAATGCTTCTGTCTAGCATTTTCTTTGAAGACATTACCGTTTCCAACGAAATCCTCAAAGCTAGCCAAATATCCACCTGCAGATTCTACAAAAAGAGTGTTTCAAAAGTGCTCTGTCCAAACCAAGGTTCAATTCTGACAGTTGAGTGCACACATCACAAACGTGATTCTGCGAATGCTTCTGTCTAGTTTTTGTCGGAAGATATTTCCTTTTTCAGCATAGGCCCCAAGGAGCTCAAAATGTCCACTGCCAGATAGTACGAGAAGATTGTTTCAAACCTGCTCTGAGAAAGGGGAATGTTCAACTCTGTGACTTGAATGTAAACATCCCTAAGATGTTTCTTAGAATGCTTCTGGCTAGATTTGATTTGAAGATATTCCCGTTTCCAACGAAATCCTCAAAGCTTTCCAAATATCCACTTCCAGATTCTATAAAAAGAATGTTTCAGAACAGTTCTGTCAAAAGAAAGGTTCAACTCTGTTAGTGGAGAACACACATCACAATCAAGGTTCTGAGAATGCTTCTGTCTAAATTTTCTATGAAGACATTCCCGTTTCCAACGAAATCCTCACAGCTATCCAAATATCCACTTGCAGATTCTACAAAAAGTGTGGTTCAAAACTGCTGTATCAAAAGAATGGATCAACACTGTTAGTTGAGTACCCACATCACAAACGTGATTCTCAGAATGCTTCTGTCTAGTTTCTGTAGGTAGATATTTCCTATTTTAAGCATAGGCCTGAAAGCGCTCCAAATGCCCACTTCCAGACACTATAAAAAGAGGGTTTCAAACCTACTCTATGAAAGGGAATGTTCAACTCTGAGAGCTGGATGCAAACATCACAAAGAAGTTTCTGAGAATGCTGCTGTCTACTTTTTATATATAATCCCGTTTCCAACGAAATCCTCAAATCTATCCAAATATCCACTTGCAGATTCCAAAAGAAGAGTGTCTCAAAACTGCTCTATCAATAGAAATGTTCAGCACAGTTAGTTGAGTAGATACAGCATAAACATGTTTCTGAGATTACTTCTATCTCGCATTCATGGGAAGATATTTCCTTTTTCCAGATAGGCTACAAAGCCCTCCAAATGTCCACTTCCAGATACTACAAATAGAGTGCTGCACAACTGCTCTATGTGAGGGGAAGTTCAATTCTGTGACTTGAATGCAGACACCACAAAGAAGTTTCTGAGAATGCTGCTGTCTAATTTTTATATGTAAGCCCGTTTCCAACGAAATCCTCAAAGCTATCCAAATATCCGCATGCAGAATCTTCAAAAAGAGTGTTCCAGAAGTACTGCATGAAACGAAAGGTTCGAGTCCGTTAGTTGAGGACACGCATCACAAATAAGTTTCTCAGAATGCTTCTGTCTTGTTTTCATTGGAAGATATTTCCTTTTTCACCATAGTTCTGAAAGCGCTCCAAATGTCCACTTCCAGACACTCCAAAAAAAGTGTTTCAAACCTGCTCTATGAATGGGAATGTTCCACTCTGTGACTTGAATGGAAATATGGCAAAGTATTTTCTGAGTATGCTGCTGTGTACGTTTTATATTGCATCCCGTTTCCAACGAAATCCTCAAAGCGATCCAAATATCCACTTGCAGATTCCAAAAAAAGAGTGTTTCAAACTGCTCTGTCAGTACAAAGGTTCAACACTGTTAGTTGATTAGATGCATCATAAACAAGTTCCTGAGATAGCTTCTATGTCGTTTTTATGGGAAGATATTTCCTTTTTCACCATAGGCCTGAAAGCGCTCCAAATGTCCACTTCCAGATACTACAATAAGAGTGTTTCCAACCTGCTCTATGAAACGGAAGGTTCAACTCTGTGACTTGATTGCAAACATCACGAAGGTGTTTCTGAGAATGCTTCTGTCTAGATTTTCTTTGAAGACATTCCCGTTTCCAACGAAATCCTCACAGCTATCCAAATATCCTCTTGCAGATTCTACAAAAAGTGTGGTTCAAAACTGCTGTATCAAAAGAATGGATCAACACTGTTAGTTGAGTACCCACATCACAAACGAGATTCTCATAATGCTTCTGTCTAGTTTCTGTAGGTAGATATTTCCTATTTTAAGCATAGGCCTGAAAGCGCTCCAAATGCCCGCTTCCAGACACTATAAAAAGAGGGTTTCAAACCTACTCTATGAAAGGGAATGTTCAACTCTGAGAGCTGGATGCAAACATCACAAAGAAGTTTCTGAGAATGCTGCTGTCTACTTTTTATATATAATCCCGTTTCCAACGAAATCCTCAAATCTATCCAAATATCCACTTGCAGATTCCAAAAGAAGAGTGTCTCAAAACTGCTCTATCAATAGAAATGTTCAGCACAGTTAGTTGAGAAGATACAGCATAAACATGTTTCTGAGATTACTTCTATCTCGCATTCATGGGAAGATATTTCCTTTTTCCAGATAGGCTACAAAGCCCTCCAAATGTCCACTTCCAGATACTACAAATAGAGTGCTGCACAACTGCTCTATGTGAGGGGAAGTTCAATTCTGTGACTTGAATGCAGACACCACAAAGAAGTTTCTGAGAATGCTGCTGTCTAATTTTTACATGTAAGCCCGTTTCCAACGAAATCCTCAAAGCTATCCAAATATCCGCATGCAGAATCTTCAAAAAGAGTGTTCCAGAAGTACTGCATGAAACGAAAGGTTCAAGTCCGTTTGTTGAGGACACACATCACAAATAAGTTTCTCAGAATGCTTCTGTCTTGTTTTCATTGGAAGATATTTCCTTTTTCACCATAGTTCAGAAAGCGCTCCAAATGTCCACTTCCAGATACTCCAAAAAGAGTGTTTCCAACCTGCTCTATGAATGGGAATGTTCCACTCTGTGACTTGAATGGAAATATGGCAAAGTATTTTCT
Source organism: Homo sapiens (assembly GCF_000001405.40). Lineage (NCBI taxonomy): Eukaryota > Metazoa > Chordata > Mammalia > Primates > Hominidae > Homo > Homo sapiens. The sequence continues at coordinate 45,632,937 of NC_000008.11, read as the reverse complement.
GAGTATGCTGCTGTGTACGTTTTATATTGCATCCCGTTTCCAACGAAATCCTCAAAGCGATCCAAATATCCACTTGCAGATTCCAAAAAAAAAGTGTTTCAAACTGCTCTGTCAGTACAAAGGTTCAACACTGTTAGTTGATTAGATGCATCATAAACAAGTTCCTGAGATAGCTTCTATGTCGTTTTTATGGGAAGATATTTCCTTTTTCACCATAGGCCTGAAAGCGCTCCAAATGTCCACTTCCAGATACTACAATAAGAGTGTTTCCAACCTGCTCTATGAAACGGAAGGTTCAACTCTGTGACTTGATTGCAAACATCACGAAGGTGTTTCTGAGAATGCTTCTGTCTAGATTTTCTTTGAAGACATTCCCGTTTCCAACGAAATCCTCACAGCTATCCAAATATCCTCTTGCAGATTCTACAAAAAGTGTGGTTCAAAACTGCTGTATCAAAAGAATGGATCAACACTGTTAGTTGAGTACCCACATCACAAACGTGATTCTCAGAATGCTTCTGTCTAGTTTCTGTAGGTAGATATTTCCTATTTTAAGCATAGGCCTGAATGCGCTCCAAATGCCCGCTTCCAGACACTATAAAAAGAGGGTTTCAAACCTACTCTATGAAAGGGAATGTTCAACTCTGAGAGCTGGATGCAAACATCACAAAGAAGTTTCTGAGAATGCTGCTGTCTACTTTTGATATATAATCCCGTTTCCAACGAAATCCTCAAATCTATCCAAATATCCACTTGCAGATTCCAAAAGAAGAGTGTCTCAAAACTGCTCTATCAATAGAAATGTTCAGCACAGTTAGTTGAGTAGATACAGCATAAACATGTTTCTGAGATTACTTCTATCTCGCATTCATGGGAAGATATTTCCTTTTTCCAGATAGGCTACAAAGCCCTCCAAATGTCCACTTCGAGATACTACAAATAGAGTGCTGCACAACTGCTCTATGTGAGGGGAAGTTCAATTCTGTGACTTGAATGCAGACACCACAAAGAAGTTTCTGAGAATGCTGCTGTCTAATTTTTACATGTAAGCCCGTTTCCAACGAAATCCTCAAAGCTATCCAAATATCCGCATGCAGAATCTTCAAAAAGAGTGTTCCAGAAGTACTGCATGAAACGAAAGGTTCAAGTCCGTTTGTTGAGGACACACATCACAAATAAGTTTCTCAGAATGCTTCTGTCTTGTTTTCATTGGAAGATATTTCCTTTTTCACCATAGTTCAGAAAGCGCTCCAAATGTCCACTTCCAGATACTCCAAAAAGAGTGTTTCCAACCTGCTCTATGAATGGGAATGTTCCACTCTCTGACTTGAATGGAAATATGGCAAAGTATTTTCTGAGTATGCTGCTGTGTACGTTTTATATTGCATCCCGTTTCCAACGAAATCCTCAAAGCGATCCAAATATCCACTTGCAGATTCCAAAAAAAGAGTGTTTCAAACTGCTCTGTCAGTACAAAGGTTCAACACTGTTAGTTGATTAGATGCATCATAAACAAGTTCCTGATATAGATTCTATCTCGCATTCATGGGAAGATATTTCCTTTTTCCAGATAGGCTACAAAGCCCTCCAAATGTCCACTTCCAGATACTACAAAAAGAGTGTTTCCAACCTGCTCTATGAAACGGAAGGTTCAACTCTGTGACTTGATTGCAAACATCACGAAGGTGTTTCTGAGAATGCTTCTGTCTAGATTTTCTTTGAAGACATTACCGTTTCCAACGAAATCCTCAAAGCTAGCCAAATATCCACCTGCAGATTCTACAAAAAGAGTGTTTCAAAAGTGCTCTGTCCAAACCAAGGTTCAATTCTGACAGTTGAGTGCACACATCACAAACGTGATTCTGCGAATGCTTCTGTCTAGTTTTTGTCGGAAGATATTTCCTTTTTCAGCATAGGCCCCAAGGAGCTCAAAATGTCCACTGCCAGATAGTACGAGAAGATTGTTTCAAACCTGCTCTGTGAAAGGGAATGTTCAACTCTGTGACTTGAATGTAAACATCCCTAAGATGTTTCTTAGAATGCTTCTGGCTAGATTTGATTTGAAGATATTCCCGTTTCCAACGAAATCCTCAAAGCTTTCCAAATATCCACTTCCAGATTCTATAAAAAGAATGTTTCAGAACAGTTCTGTCAAAAGAAAGGTTCAACTCTGTTAGTGGAGAACACACATCACAATCAAGGTTCTGAGAATGCTTCTGTCTAAATTTTCTATGAAGACATTCCCGTTTCCAACGAAATCCTCACAGCTATCCAAATATCCACTTGCAGATTCTACAAAAAGTGTGGTTCAAAACTGCTGTATCAAAAGAATGGATCAACACTGTTAGTTGAGTACCCACATCACAAACGTGATTCTCAGAATGCTTCTGTCTAGTTTCTATAGGTAGATATTTCCTTTTTCAGCATAGGCCTGAAAGCGCTCCAAATGCCCGCTTCCAGACACTATAAAAAGAGGGTTTCAAACCTACTCTATGAAAGGGAATGTTCAACTCTGAGAGCTGGATGCAAACATCACAAAGAAGTTTCTGAGAATGCTGCTGTCTACTTTTTATATATAATCCCGTTTCCAACGAAATCCTCAAATCTATCCAAATATCCACTTGCAGATTCCAAAAGAAGAGTGTCTGAAAACTGCTCTATCAATAGAAATGTTCAGCACAGTTAGTTGAGTAGATACAGCATAAACATGTTTCTGAGATTACTTCTATCTCGCATTCATGGGAAGATATTTCCTTTTTCCAGATAGGCTACAAAGCCCTCCAAATGTCCACTTCGAGATACAACAAATAGAGTGCTGCACAACTGCTCTATGTGAGGGGATGTTCAATTCTGTGACTTGAATGCAGACACCACAAAGAAGTTTCTGAGAATGCTGCTGTCTAATTTTTATATGTAAGCCCGTTTCCAACGAAATCCTCAAAGCTATCCAAATATCCGCATGCAGAATCTTCAAAAAGAGTGTTCCAGAAGTACTGCATGAAACGAAAGGTTCAAGTCCGTTAGTTGAGGACACACATCACAAATAAGTTTCTCAGAATGCTTCTGTCTTGTTTTCATTGGAAGATATTTCCTTTTTCACCATAGTTCAGAAAGCGCTCCAAATGTCCACTTCCAGATACTCCAAAAAGAGTGTTTCCAACCTGCTCTATGAATGGGAATGTTCCACTCTGTGACTTGAATGGAAATATGGCAAAGTATTTTGCTGAGTATGCTGCTGTGTACGTTTTATATTGCATCCCGTTTCCAACGAAATCCTCAAAGCGATCCAAATATCCACTTGCAGATTCCAAAAAAAGAGTGTTTCAAACTGCTCTGTCAGTACAAAGGTTCAACACTGTTAGTTGATTAGATGCATCATAAACAAGTTCCTGAGATAGCTTCTATGTCGTTTTTATGGGAATATATTTCCTTTTTCACCATAGGCCTGAAAGCGCTCCAAATGTCCACTTCCAGATACTACAATAAGAGTGTTTCCAACCTGCTCTATGAAACGGAAGGTTCAACTCTGTGACTTGATTGCAAACATCACGAAGGTGTTTCTGAGAATGCTTCTGTCTAGATTTTCTTTGAAGACATCCCCGTTTCCAACGAAATCCTCACAGCTATCCAAATATCCTCTTGCAGGTTCTACAAAAAGTGTGGTTCAAAACTGCTGTATCAAAAGAATGGATCAACACTGTTAGTTGAGTACCCACATCACAAACGTGATTCTCAGAATGCTTCTGTCTAGTTTCTGTAGGTAGATATTTCCTATTTTAAGCATAGGCCTGAAAGCGCTCCAAATGCCCGCTTCCAGACACTATAAAAAGAGGGTTTCAAACCTACTCTATGAAAGGGAATGTTCAACTCTGAGAGCTGGATGCAAACATCACAAAGAAGTTTCTGAGAATGCTGCTGTCTACTTTTTATATATAATCCCGTTTCCAACGAAATCCTCAAATCTATCCAAATATCCACTTGCAGATTCCAAAAGAAGAGTGTCTCAAAACTGCTCTATCAATAGAAATGTTCAGCACAGTTAGTTGAGTAGATACAGCATAAACATGTTTCTGAGATTACTTCTATCTCGCATTCATGGGAAGATATTTCCTTTTTCCACATAGGCTACAAAGCCCTCCAAATGTCCACTTCCAGATACTACAAATAGAGTGCTGCACAACTGCTCTATGTGAGGGGATGTTCAATTCTGTGACTTGAATGCAGACACCACAAAGAAGTTTCTGAGAATGCTGCTGTCTAATTTTTACATGTAAGCCCGTTTCCAACGAAATCCTCAAAGCTATCCAAATATCCGCATGCAGAATCTTCAAAAAGAGTGTTCCAGAAGTACTGCATGAAACGAAAGGTTCAAGTCCGTTTGTTGAGGACACACATCACAAATAAGTTTCTCAGAATGCTTCTGTCTTGTTTTCATTAGAAGATATTTCCTTTTTCACCATAGTTCAGAAAGCGCTCCAAATGTCCACTTCCAGATACTCCAAAAAGAGTGTTTCCAACCTGCTCTATGAATGGGAATGTTCCACTCTGTGACTTGAATGGAAATATGGCAAAGTATTTTCTGAGTATGCTGCTGTGTACGTTTTATATTGCATCCCGTTTCCAACGAAATCCTCAAAGCGATCCAAATATCCACTTGCAGATTCCAAAAAAAGAGTGTTTCAAAGTGCTCTGTCAGTACAAAGGTTCAACACTGTTAGTTGATTAGATGCATCATAAACAAGTTCCTGAGATAGCTTCTATGTCGTTTTTATGGGAAGATATTTCCTTTTTCACCATAGGCCTGAAAGCGCTCCAAATGTCCACTTCCAGATACTACAAAAAGAGTGTTTCCAACCTGCTCTATGAAACGGAAGGTTCAACTCTGTGACTTGATTGCAAACATCACGAAGGTGTTTCTGAGAATGTTTCTGTCTAGATTTTCTTTGAAGACATTCCCGTTTCCAACGAAATCCTCACAGCTATCCAAATATCCTCTTGCAGATTCTACAAAAAGTGTGGTTCAAAACTGCTGTATCAAAAGAATGGATCAACACTGTTAGTTGAGTACCCACATCACAAACGTGATTCTCAGAATGCTTCTGTCTAGTTTCTGTAGGTAGATATTTCCTATTTTAAGCATAGGCCTGAAAGCGCTCCAAATGCCCGCTTCCAGACACTATAAAAAGAGGGTTTCAAACCTACTCTATGAAAGGGAATGTCCAACTCTGAGAGCTGGATGCAAACATCACAAAGAAGTTTCTGAGAATGCTGCTGTCTACTTTTGATATATAATCCCGTTTCCAACGAAATCCTCAAATCTATCCAAATATCCACTTGCAGATTCCAAAAGAAGAGTGTCTCAAAACTGCTCTATCAATAGAAATGTTCAGCACAGTTAGTTGAGTAGATACAGCATAAACATGTTTCTGAGATTACTTCTATCTCGCATTCATGGGAAGATATTTCCTTTTTCCAGATAGGCTACAAAGCCCTCCAAATGTCCACTTCCAGATACTACAAATAGAGTGCTGCACAACTGCTCTATGTGAGGGGAAGTTCAATTCTGTGACTTGAATGCAGACACCACAAAGAAGTTTCTGAGAATGCTGCTGTCTAATTTTTACATGTAAGCCCGTTTCCAACGAAATCCTCAAAGCTATCCAAATATCCGCATGCAGAATCTTCAAAAAGAGTGTTCCAGAAGTACTGCATGAAACGAAAGGTTCAAGTCCGTTTGTTGAGGACACACATCACAAATAAGTTTCTCAGAATGCTTCTGTCTTGTTTTCATTGGAAGATATTTCCTTTTTCACCATAGTTCAGAAAGCGCTCCAAATGTCCACTTCCAGATACTCCAAAAAGAGTGTTTCCAACCTGCTCTATGAATGGGAATGTTCCACTCTGTGACTTGAATGGAAATATGGCAAAGTATTTTCTGAGTATGCTGCTGTGTACGTTTTATATTGCATCCCGTTTCCAACGAAATCCTCAAAGCGATCCAAATATCCACTTGCAGATTCCAAAAAAAGAGTGTTTCAAACTGCTCTGTCAGTACAAAGGTTCAACACTGTTAGTTGATTAGATGCATCATAAACAAGTTCCTGAGATAGCTTCTATGTCGTTTTTATGGGAAGATATTTCCTTTTTCACCGTAGGCCTGAAAGCGCTCCAAATGTCCACTTCCAGATACTACAAAAAGAGTGTTTCCAACCTGCTCTATGAAACGGAAGGTTCAACTCTGTGACTTGATTGCAAACAACACGAAAGTGTTTCTGAGAATGATTCTGTCTAGATTTTCTTTGAAGACATTATCGTTTCCAACGAAATCCTCAAAGCTAGCCAAATATCCACCTGCAGATTCTACAAAAAGAGTGTTTCAAAAGTGCTCTGTCCAAACCAAGGTTCAATTCTGACAGTTGAGTGCACACATCACAAACGTGATTCTGCGAATGCTTCTGTCTAGTTTTTGTCGGAAGATATTTCCTTTCTCAGCATAGGCCCCAAGGAGCTCAAAATGTCCACTTCCAGATAGTACGAGAAGATTGTTTCAAACCTGCTCTGTGAAAGGGAATGTTCAACTCTGTGACTTGAATGTAAACATCCCTAAGATGTTTCTTAGAATGCTTCTGGCTAGATTTTATTTGAAGATATTCCCGTTTCCAACGAAATCCTCAAAGCTTTCCAAATATCCACTTCCAGATTCTATAAAAAGAATGTTTCAAAACAGTTCTGTCAAAAGAAAGGTTCAACCCTGTTAGTGGAGAACACACATCACAATCAAGGTTCTGAGAATGCTTCTGTCTAAATTTTCTATGAAGACATTCCCGTTTCCAACGAAATCCTCACAGCTATCCAAATATCCACTTGCAGATTCTACAAAAAGTGTGGTTCAAAACTGCTGTATCAAAAGAATGGATCAACACTGTTAGTTGAGTACCCACATCACAAACGTGATTCTCAGAATGCTTCTGTCTAGTTTCTATAGGTAGATATTTCCTTTTTCAGCATAGGCCTGAAAGCGCTCCAAATGCCCGCTTCCAGACACTATAAAAAGAGGGTTTCAAACCTACTCTATGAAAGGGAATGTTCAACTCTGAGAGCTGGATGCAAACATCACAAAGAAGTTTCTGAGAATGCTGCTGTCTACTTTTTATATATAATCCCGTTTCCAACGAAATCCTCAAATCTATCCAAATATCCACTTGCAGATTCCAAAAGAAGAGTGTCTCAAAACTGCTCTATCAATAGAAATGTTCAGCACAGTTAGTTGAGTAGATACAGCATAAACATGTTTCTGAGATTACTTCTATCTCGCATTCATGGGAAGATATTTCCTTTTTCCAGATAGGCTACAAAGCCCTCCAAATGTCCACTTCCAGATACTACAAATAGAGTGCTGCACAACTGCTCTATGTGAGGGGAAGTTCAATTCTGTGACTTGGATGCAGACACCACAAAGAAGTTTCTGAGAATGCTGCTGTCTAATTTTTACATGTAAGCCCGTTTCCAACGAAATCCTCAAAGCTATCCAAATATCCGCATGCAGAATCTTCAAAAAGAGTGTTCCAGAAGTACTGCATGAAACGAAAGGTTCAAGTCCGTTTGTTGAGGACACACATCACAAATAAGTTTCTCAGAATGCTTCTGTCTTGTTTTCATTGGAAGATATTTCCTTTTTCACCATAGTTCAGAAAGCGCTCCAAATGTCCACTTCCAGATACTCCAAAAAGAGTGTTTCAAACCTGCTCTATGAATGGGAATGTTCCACTCTGTGACTTGAATGGAAATATGGCAAAGTATTTTCTGAGTATGCTGCTGTGTACGTTTTATATTGCATCCCGTTTCCAACGAAATCCTCAAAGCGATCCAAATATCCACTTGCAGATTCCAAAAAAAGAGTGTTTCAAACTGCTCTGTCAGTACAAAGGTTCAACACTGTTAGTTGATTAGATGCATCATAAACAAGTTCCTGAGACAGCTTCTATGTCGTTTTTATGGGAAGATATTTCCTTTTTCACCATAGGCCTGAAAGCGCTCCAAATGTCCACTTCCAGATACTACAATAAGAGTGTTTCCAACCTGCTCTATGAAACGGAAGGTTCAACTCTGTGACTTGATTGCAAACATCACGAAGGTGTTCCTCAGAATGCTTCTGTCTAGATTTTCTTTGAAGACATTACCGTTTCCAACGAAATCCTCAAAGCTAGCCAAATATCCACCTGCAGATTCTACAAAAAGAGTGTTTCAAAAGTGCTCTGTCCAAACCAAGGTTCAATTCTGACAGTTGAGTGCACACATCACAAACGTGATTCTGCGAATGCTTCTGTCTAGTTTTTGTCGGAAGATATTTCCTTTTTCAGCATAGGCCCCAAGGAGCTCAAAATGTCCACTGCCAGATAGTACGAGAAGATTGTTTCAAACCTGCTCTGTGAAAGGGAATGTTCAACTCTGTGACTTGAATGTAAACATCCCTAAGCTGTTTCTTAGAATGCTTCTGGCTAGATTTGATTTGAAGATATTCCCGTTTCCAACGAAATCCTCAAAGCTTTCCAAATATCCACTTCCAGATTCTATAACAAGAATGTTTCAGAACAGTTCTGTCAAAAGAAAGGTTCAACTCTGTTAGTGGAGAACACACATCACAATCAAGGTTCTGAGAATGCTTCTGTCTAAATTTTCTATGAAGACATTCCAGTTTCCAACGAAATCCTCACAGCTATCCAAATATCCACTTGCAGATTCTACAAAAAGTGTGGTTCAAAACTGCTGTATCAAAAGAATGGATCAACACTGTTAGTTGAGTACCCACATCACAAACGTGATTCTCAGAATGCTTCTGTCTAGTTTCTATAGGTAGATATTTCCTTTTTCAGCATAGGCCCGAAAGCGCTCCAAATGCCCGCTTCCAGACACTATAAAAAGAGGGTTTCAAACCTACTCTATGAAAGGGAATGTTCAACTCTGAGAGCTGGATGCAAACATCACAAAGAAGTTTCTGAGAATGCTGCTGTCTACTTTTTATATATAATCCCGTTTCCAAGGAAATCCTCAAATCTATCCAAATATCCACTTGCAGATTCCAAAAGAAGAGTGTCTCAAAACTGCTCTATCAATAGAAATGTTCAGCACAGTTAGTTGAGTACATACAGCATAAACATGTTTCTGAGATTACTTCTATCTCGCATTCATGGGAAGATATTTCCTTTTTCCAGATAGGCTACAAAGCCCTCCAAATGTCCACTTCCAGATACTACAAATAGAGTGCTGCACAACTGCTCTATGTGAGGGGATGTTCAATTCTGTGACTTGAATGCAGACACCACAAAGAAGTTTCTGAGAATGCTGCTGTCTAATTTTTACATGTAAGCCCGTTTCCAACGAAATCCTCAAAGCTATCCAAATATCCGCATGCAGAATCTTCAAAAAGAGTGTTCCAGAAGTACTGCATGAAACGAAAGGTTCAAGTCCGTTTGTTGAGGACACACATCACAAATAAGTTTCTCAGAATGCTTCTGTCTTGTTTTCATTGGAAGATATTTCCTTTTTCACCATAGTTCAGAAAGCGCTCCAAATGTCCACTTCCAGATACTCCAAAAAGAGTGTTTCAAACCTGCTCTATGAATGGGAATGTTCCACTCTGTGACTTGAATGGAAATATGGCAAAGTATTTTCTGAGTATGCTGCTGTGTACGATTTATATTGCATCCCGTTTCCAACGAAATCCTCAAAGCGATCCAAATATCCACTTGCAGATTCCAAAAAAAAGAGTGTTTCACACTGCTCTGTCAGTACAAAAGTTCAACACTGTTAGTTGATTGGATGCATCATAAACAAGTTCCTGAGATAGCTTCTATGTCGTTTTTATGGGAAGATATTTCCTTTTTCACCATAGGCCTGAAAGCGCTCCAAATGTCCACTTCCAGATACTACAAAAAGAGTGTTTCCAACCTGCCCTATGAAACGGAAGGTTCAACTCTGTGACTTGATTGCAAACATCACGAAGGTGTTTCTGAGAATGTTTCTGTCTAGATTTTCTTTGAAGACATTACCGTTTCCAACGAAATCCTCAAAGCTAGCCAAATATCCACCTGCAGATTCTACAAAAAGTGTTTCAAAAGTGCTCTGTCCAAACCAAGGTTCAATTCTGACAGTTGAGTGCACACATCACAAACGTGATTCTGCGAATGCTTCTGTCTAGTTTTTGTCGGAAGATATTTCCTTTTTCAGCATAGGCTCCAAGGAGCTCAAAATGTCCACTTCCAGATAGTACCAGAAGATTGTTTCAAACCTGCTCTGTGAAAGGGAATGTTCAACTCTGTGACTTGAATGTAAACATCCCTAAGATGTTTCTTAGAATGCTTCTTGCTAGATTTTATTTGAAGATATTCCCGTTTCCAACGAAATCCTCAAAGCTTTCCAAATATCCACTTCCAGATTCTATAAAAAGAATGTTTCAAAACAGTTCTGTCAAAAGAAAGGTTCAACCCTGTTAGTGGAGAACACACATCACAATCAAGGTTCTGAGAATGCTTCCGTCTAAATTTTCTATGAAGACATTCCCGTTTCCAACGAAATCCTCACAGCTATCCAAATATCCACTTGCAGATTCTACAAAAAGTGTGGTTCAAAACTGCTGTATCAAAAGAATGGATCAACACTGTTAGTTGAGTACCCACATCACAAACGTGATTCTCAGAATGCTTCTGTCTAGTTTCTATAGGTAGATATTTCCTTTTTCAGCATAGGCCTGAAAGCGCTCCAAATGCCCGCTTCCAGACACTATAAAAAGAGGGTTTCAAACCTACTCTATGAAAGGGAATGTTCAACTCTGAGAGCTGGATGCAAACATCACAAAGAAGTTTCTGAGAATGCTGCTGTCTACTTTTTATATATAATCCCGTTTCCAACGAAATCCTCAAATCTATCCAAATATCCACTTGCAGATTCCAAAAGAAGAGTGTCTCAAAACTGCTCTATCAATAGAAATGTTCAGCACAGTTAGTTGAGTAGATACAGCATAAACATGTTTCTGAGATTACTTCTATCTCGCATTCATGGGAAGATATTTCCTTTTTCCAGATAGGCTACAAAGCCCTCCAAATGTCCACTTCGAGATACTACAAATAGAGTGCTGCACAACTGCTCTATGTGAGGGGATGTTCAATTCTGTGACTTGGATGCAGACACCACAGGAGAAGTTTCTGAGAATGCTGCTGTCTAATTTTTATATGTAAGCCCGTTTCCAACGAAATCCTCAAAGCTATCCAAATATCCGCATGCAGAATCTTCAAAAAGAGTGTTCCAGAATTACTGCATGAAACGAAAGGTTCAAGTCCGTTAGTTGAGGACACACATCACAAATAAGTTTCTCAGAATGCTTCTGTCTTGTTTTCATTGGAAGATATTTCCTTTTTCACCATAGTTCAGAAAGCGCTCCAAATGTCCACTTCCAGATACTACAAAAAGAGTGTGTCAAACCTGCTCTATGAATGGGAATGTTCCACTCTGTGACTTGAATGGAAATATGGCAAAGTATTTTCTGAGTATGCTGCTGTGTACGTTTTATATTGCATCCCGTTTCCAACGAAATCCTCAAAGCGATCCAAATATCCACTTGCAGATTCCAAAAAAAAGAGTGTTTCACACTGCTCTGTCAGTACAAAGGTTCAACACTGTTAGTTGATTAGATGCATCATAAACAAGTTCCTGAGATAGCTTCTATGTCGTTTTTATGGGAAGATATTTCCTTCTTCACCATAGGCCAGAAAGCGCTCCAAATGTCCACTTCCAGGTACTACAAAAAGAGTGTTTCCAACCTGCTCTATGAAACGGAAGGTTCAACTCTGTGACTTGATTGCAAACATCACGAAGGTGTTTCTGAGAATGTTTCTGTCTAGATTTTCTTTGAAGACATTACCATTTCCAACGAAATCCTCAAAGCTAGTCAAATATCCACCTGCAGATTCTACAAAAAGAGTGTTTCAAAAGTGCTCTGTCCAAACAAAGGTTCAATTCTGACAGTTGAGTGCACACATCACAAACGTGATTCTGCGAATGCTTCTGTCTAGTTTTTGTCGGAAGATATTTCCTTTTTCAGCATAGGCCCCAAGGAGCACAAAATGTCCACTTCCAGATAGTACGAGAAGATTGTTTCAAACCTGCTCTGTGAAAGGGAATGTTCAACTCTGTGACTTGAATGTAAACATCCCTAATATGTTTCTTAGAATGCTTCTGGCTAGATTTGATTTGAAGATATTCCCGTTTACAACGAAATCCTCAAAGCTTTCCAAATATCCACTTCCAGATTCTATAAAAAGAATGTTTCAGAACAGTTCTGTCAAAAGAAAGGTTCAACTCTGTTAGTGGAGAACACACATCACAATCAATGTTCTGAGAATGCTTCTGTCTAAATTTTCTATGAAGGCATTCCCGTTTCCAAGGAAATCCTCACAGCTATCCAAATATCCACTTGCAGATTCTACAAAAAGTGTGGTTGAAAACTGCTGTATCAAAAGATTGGATCAACACTGTTAGTTGAGTACCCACATCACAAACGTGATTCTCAGAATGCTTCTGTCTAGTTTCTAGAGGTAGATATTTCCTTCTTCAGCATAGGCCTGAAAGCGCTCCAAATGCCCGCTTCCAGAAACTATAAAAAGAGGGTTTCAAACCTACTCTACGAAAGGGAATGTTCAACTCTGAGAGCTGGATGCAAACATCACAAAGAAGTTTCTGAGAATGCGGCTGTCTACTTTTGATATATAATCCCGTTTCCAACGAAATCCTCAAATCTATCCAAATATCCACTTGCAGATTCCAAAAGAAGAGTGTCTCAAAACTGCTCTATCAATAGAAATGTTCAGCACAGTTAGTTGAGTAGATACAGCATAAACATGTTTCTGAGATTACTTCTATCTCGCATTCATGGGAAGATATTTCCTTTTTCCAGATAGGCTACAAAGCCCTCCAAATGTCCACTTCCAGATACTACAAATAGAGTGCTGCACAACTGCTCTATGTGAGGGGAAGTTCAATTCTGTGACTTGAATGCAGACACCACAAAGAAGTTTCTGAGAATGCTGCTGTCTAATTTTTACATGTAAGCCCGTTTCCAACGAAATCCTCAAAGCTATCCAAATATCCGCATGCAGAATCTTCAAAAAGAGTGTTCCAGAAGTACTGCATGAAACGAAAGGTTCAAGTCCGTTTGTTGAGGACACACATCACAAATAAGTTTCTCAGAATGCTTCTGTCTTGTTTTCATTGGAAGTTATTTCCTTTTTCACCATAGTTCAGAAAGCGCTCCAAATGTCCACTTCCAGATACTCCAAAAAGAGTGTTTCAAACCTGCTCTATGAATGGGAATGTTCCACTCTGTGACTTGAATGGAAATATGGCAAAGTATTTTCTGAGTATGCTGCTGTGTACGTTTTATATTGCATCCCGTTTCCAACGAAATCCTCAAAGCGATCCAAATATCCACTTGCAGATTCCAAAAAAAAAGAGTGTTTCACACTGCTCTGTCAGTACAAAGGTTCAACACTGTTAGTTGATTGGATGCATCATAAACAAGTTCCTGAGATGGCTTCTATGTCGTTTTTATTGGAAGATATTTCCTTTTTCACCATAGGCCTGAAAGCGCTCCAAATGTCCACTTCTAGATACTACAAAAAGAGTGTTTGCAACCTGCTCTATGAAACGGAAGGTTCAACTCTGTGACTTGATTGCAAACATCACGAAGGTGTTTCTGAGAATGCTTCTGTCTAGATTTTCTTTGAAGACATTACCGTTTCCAACGAAATCCTCAAAGCTAGCCAAATATCCACCTGCAGATTCTACAAAAAGAGTGTTTCAAAAGTGCTCTCTCCAAACCAAGGTTCAATTCTGACAGTTGAGTGCACACATCACAAACGTGATTCTGCGAATGCTTCTGTCTAGTTTTTGTCGGAAGATATTTCCTTTTTCAGCATAGGCCCCAAGGAGCTCAAAATGTCCACTGCCAGATAGTACGAGAAGATTGTTTCAAACCTGCTCTGAGAAAGGGGAATGTTCAACTCTGTGACTTGAATGTACACATCCCTAAGATGTTTCTTAGAATGCTTCTGGCTAGATTTGATTTGAAGATATTCCCGTTTCCATCGAAATCCTCAAAGCTTTCCAAATATCCACTTCCAGATTCTATAAAAAGAATGTTTCGGAACAGTTCTGTCAAAAGAAAGGTTCAACCCTGTTAGTGGAGAACACACATCACAATCAAGGTTCTGAGAATGCTTCTGTCTAAATTTTCTATGAAGACATTCCCGTTTCCAAGGAAATCCTCACAGCTATCCAAATATCCACTTGCAGATTCTACAAAAAGTGTGGTTCAAAACTGCTGTATCAAAAGAATGGATCAACACTGTTAGTTGAGTACCCACATCACAAACGTGATTCTCAGAATGCTTCTGTCTAGTTTCTATAGGTAGATATTTCCTTTTTCAGCATAGGCCTGAAAGCGCTCCAAATGCCCGCTTCCAGACACTATAAAAAGAGGGTTTCAAACCTACTCCACGAAAGGGAATGTTCAACTCTGAGAGCTGGATGCAAAACTCACAAAGAAGTTTCTGAGAATGCTGCTGTCTACTTTTTATATATAATCCCGTTTCCAACGAAATCCTCAAATCTCTCCAAATATCCACTTGCAGATTCCAAAAGAAGAGTGTCTCAAAACTGCTCTATCAATAGAAATGTTCAGCACAGTTAGTTGAGTAGATACAGCATAAACATGTTTCTGAGATTACTTCTATCTCGCATTCATGGGAAGATATTTCCTTTTTCCAGATAGGCTACAAAGCCCTCCAAATGTCCACTTCCAGATACTACAAATAGAGTGCTGCACAACTGCTCTATGTGAGGGGAAGTTCAATTCTGTGACTTGAATGCAGACACCACAAAGAAGTTTCTGAGAATGCTGCTGTCTAATTTTTACATGTAAGCCCGTTTCCAACGAAATCCTCAAAGCTATCCAAATATCCGCATGCAGAATCTTCAAAAAGAGTGTTCCAGAAGTACTGCATGAAACGAAAGGTTCAAGTCCGTTTGTTGAGGACACACATCACAAAGAAGTTTCTCAGAATGCTTCTGTCTTGTTTTCATTGGAAGATATTTCCTTTTTCACCATAGTTCAGAAAGCGCTCCAAATGTCCACTTCCAGATACTCCAAAAAGAGTGTTTCCAACCTGCTCTATGAATGGGAATGTTCCACTCTGTGACTTGAATGGAAATATGGCAAAGTATTTTCTGAGTATGCTGCTGTGTACGTTTTATATTGCATCCCGTTTCCAACGAAATCCTCAAAGCGATCCAAATATCCACTTGCAGATTCCAAAAAAAGAGTGTTTCAAACTGCTCTGTCAGTACAAAGGTTCAACACTGTTAGTTGATTAGATGCATCATAAACAAGTTCCTGAGACAGCTTCTATGTCGTTTTTATGGGAAGATATTTCCTTTTTCACCATAGGCCTGAAAGCGCTCCAAATGTCCCCTTCCAGATACTACAATAAGAGTGTTTCAAACCTGCTCTATGAAACGGAAGGTTCAACTCTGTGACTTGATTGCAAACATCACGAAGGTGTTTCTGAGAATGCTTCTGTCTAGATTTTCTTTGAAGACATTCCCGTTTCCAACGAAATCCTCACAGCTATCCAAATATCCTCTTGCAGATTCTACAAAAAGTGTGGTTCAAAACTGCTGTATCAAAAGAATGGATCAACACTGTTAGTTGAGTACCCACATCACAAACGTGATTCTCAGAATGCTTCTGTCTAGTTTCTGTAGGTAGATATTTCCTATTTTAAGCATAGACCTGAAAGCGCTCCAAATGCCCGCTTCCAGACACTATAAAAAGAGGGTTTCAAACCTACTCTATGAAAGGGAATGTTCAACTCTGAGAGCTGGATGCAAACATCACAAAGAAGTTTCTGAGAATGCTGCTGTCTACTTTTTATATATAATCCCGTTTCCAACGAAATCCTCAAATCTATCCAAATATCCACTTGCAGATTCCAAAAGAAGAGTGTCTCAAAACTGCTCTATCAATAGAAATGTTCAGCACAGTTAGTTGAGTAGATACAGCATAAACATGTTTCTGAGATTACTTCTATCTCGCATTCATGGGAAGATATTTCCTTTTTCCAGATAGGCTACAAAGCCCTCCAAATGTCCACTTCCAGATACTACAAATAGAGTGCTGCACAACTGCTCTATGTGAGGGGATGTTCAATTCTGTGACTTGAATGCAGACACCACAAAGAAGTTTCTGAGAATGCTGCTGTCTAATTTTTACATGTAAGCCCGTTTCCAACGAAATCCTCAAAGCAATCCAAATATCCGCATGCAGAATCTTCAAAAAGAGTGTTCCAGAAGTACTGCATGAAACGAAAGGTTCAAGTCCGTTTGTTGAGGACACACATCACAAATAAGTTTCTCAGAATGCTTCTGTCTTGTTTTCATTGGAAGATATTTCCTTTTTCACCATAGTTCAGAAAGCGCTCCAAATGTCCACTTCCAGATACTCCAAAAAGAGTGTTTCCAACCTGCTCTATGAATGGGAATGTTCCACTCTGTGACTTGAATGGAAATATGGCAAAGTATTTTCTGAGTATGCTGCTGTGTACGTTTTATATTGCATCCCGTTTCCAACGAAATCCTCAAAGCGATCCAAATATCCACTTGCAGATTCCAAAAAAAGAGTGTTTCAAACTGCTCTGTCAGTACAAAGGTTCAACACTGTTAGTTGATTAGATGCATCATAAACAAGTTCCTGAGATAGCTTCTATGTCGTTTTTATGGGAAGATATTTCCTTTTTCACCATAGGCCTGAAAGCGCTCCAAATGTCCACTTCCAGATACTACAATAAGAGTGTTTCCAACCTGCTCTATGAAACGGAAGGTTCAACTCTGTGACTTGATTGCAAACATCACGAAGGTGTTTCTGAGAATGCTTCTGTCTAGATTTTCTTTGAAGACATTCCCGTTTCCAACGAAATCCTCACAGCTATCCAAATATCCTCTTGCAGATTCTACAAAAAGTGTGGTTCAAAACTGCTGTATCAAAAGAATGGATCAACACTGTTAGTTGAGTACCCACATCACAAACGTGATTCTCAGAATGCTTCTGTCTAGTTTCTGTAGGTAGATATTTCCTATTTTAAGCATAGGCCTGAAAGCGCTCCAAATGCCCGCTTCCAGACACTATAAAAAGAGGGTTTCAAACCTACTCTATGAAAGGGAATGTTCAACTCTGAGAGCTGGATGCAAACATCACAAAGAAGTTTCTGAGAATGCTGCTGTCTACTTTTGATATATATTCCCGTTTCCAAGGAAATCCTCAAATCTATCCAAATATCCACTTGCAGATTCCAACAGGAGAGTGTCTCAAAACTGCTCTATCAATAGAAATGTTCAGCACAGTTAGTTGAGTAGATACAGCATAAACATGTTTCTGAGATTACTTCTATCTCGCATTCATGGGAAGATATTTCCTTTTTCCAGATAGGCTACAAAGCCCTCCAAATGTCCACTTCGAGATACTACAAATAGAGTGCTGCACAACTGCTCTATGTGAGGGGATGTTCAATTCTGTGACTTGGATGCAGACACCACAGGAGAAGTTTCTGAGAATGCTGCTGTCTAATTTTTACATGTAAGCCCGTTTCCAACGAAATCCTCAAAGCTAACCAAATATCCGCATGCAGAATCTTCAAAAAGAGTGTTCCAGAAGTACTGCATGAAACGAAAGGTTCGAGTCCGTTAGTTGAGGATACGCATCAGAAATAAGTTTCTCAGAATGCTTCTGTCTTGTTTTCATTGGAAGATATTTCCTTTTTCACCATAGTTCTGAAAGCGCTCCAAATGTCCACTTCCAGACACTCCAAAAAAAGTGTTTCAAACCTGCTCTATGAATGGGAATGTTCCACTCTGTGACTTGAATGGAAATATGGCAAAGTATTTTACTGAGTATGCTGCTGTGTACGATTTATATTGCATCCCGTTTCCAACGAAATCCTCAAAGCGATCCAAATATCCACTTGCAGATTCGAAAAAATAGAGTGTTTCACACTGCTCTGTCAGTACAAAAGTTCAACACTGTTAGTTGATTGGATGCATCATAAACAAGTTCCTGAGATAGCTTCTATGTCGTTTTTATGGGAAGATATTTCCTTCTTCACCATAGGCCTGAAAGCGCTCCAAATGTCCACTTCCAGATACTACAAAAAGAGTGTTTCCAACCTGCTCTATGAAACGGAAGGTTCAACTCTGTGACTTGATTGCAAACATCACGAAGGTGTTTCTGAGAATGTTTCTGTCTAGATTTTCTTTGAAGACATTACCGTTTCCAACGAAATCCTCAAAGCTAGTCAAATATCCACCTGCAGATTCTACAAAAAGAGTGTTTCAAAAGTGCTCTGTCCAAACCAAGGTTCAATTCTGACAGTTGAGTGCACACATCACAAACGTGATTCTGCGAATGCTTCTGTCTAGTTTTTGTCGGAAGATATTTCCTTTTTCAGCATAGGCCCCAAGGAGCTCAAAATGTCCACTGCCAGATAGTACGAGAAGATTGTTTCAAACCTGCTCTGTGAAAGGGAATGTTCAACTCTGTGACTTGAATGTAAACATCCCTAAGATGTTTCTTAGAATGCTTCTGGCTAGATTTGATTTGAAGATATTCCCGTTTCCAACGAAATCCTCAAAGCTTTCCAAATATCCACTTCCAGATTCTATAAAAAGAATGTTTCAGAACAGTTCTGTCAAAAGAAAGGTTCAACTCTGTTAGTGGAGAACACACATCACAATCAAGGTTCTGAGAATGCTTCTGTCTAAATTTTCTATGAAGACATTCCCGTTTCCAACGAAATCCTCACAGCTATCCAAATATCCACTTGCAGATTCTACAAAAAGTGTGGTTCAAAACTGCTGTATCAAAAGAATGGATCAACACTGCTAGTTGAGTACCCACATCACAAACGTGATTCTCAGAATGCTTCTGTCTAGTTTCTATAGGTAGATATTTCCTTTTTCAGCATAGGCCTGAAAGCGCTCCAAATGCCCGCTTCCAGACACTATAAAAAGAGGGTTTCAAACCTACTCTATGAAAGGGAATGTTCAACTCTGAGAGCTGGATGCAAACATCACAAAGAAGTTTCTGAGAATGCTGCTGTCTACTTTTTATATATAATCCCGTTTCCAACGAAATCCTCAAATCTATCCAAATATCCACTTGCAGATTCCAAAAGAAGAGTGTCTCAAAACTGCTCTATCAATAGAAATGTTCAGCACAGTTAGTTGAGTAGATACAGCATAAACATGTTTCTGAGATTACTTCTATCTCGCATTCATGGGAAGATATTTCCTTTTTCCACATAGGCTACAAAGCCCTCCAAATGTCCACTTCCAGATACTACAAATAGAGTGCTGCACAACTGCTCTATGTGAGGGGATGTTCAATTCTGTGACTTGAATGCAGACACCACAAAGAAGTTTCTGAGAATGCTGCTGTCTAATTTTTACATGTAAGCCCGTTTCCAACGAAATCCTCAAAGCTATCCAAATATCCGCATGCAGAATCTTCAAAAAGAGTGTTCCAGAAGTACTGCATGAAACGAAAGGTTCAAGTCCGTTTGTTGAGGACACACATCACAAATAAGTTTCTCAGAATGCTTCTGTCTTGTTTTCATTGGAAGATATTTCCTTTTTCACCATAGTTCAGAAAGCGCTCCAAATGTCCACTTCCAGATACTCCAAAAAGAGTGTTTCAAACCTGCTCTATGAATGGGAATGTTCCACTCTCTGACTTGAATGGAAATATGGCAAAGTATTTTCTGAGTATGCTGCTGTGTACGTTTTATATTGCATCCCGTTTCCAACGAAATCCTCAAAGCGATCCAAATATCCACTTGCAGATTCCAAAAAAAGAGTGTTTCAAACTGCTCTGTCAGTACAAAGGTTCAACACTGTTAGTTGATTAGATGCATCATAAACAAGTTCCTGATATAGATTCTATCTCGCATTCATGGGAAGATATTTCCTTTTTCCACATAGGCTACAAAGCCCTCCAAATGTCCACTTCCAGATACTACAAAAAGAGTGTTTCCAACCTGCTCTATGAAACGGAAGGTTCAACTCTGTGACTTGATTGCAAACATCACGAAGGTGTTTCTGAGAATGCTTCTGTGTAGATTTTCTTTGAAGACATTACCGTTTCCAACGAAATCCTCAAAGCTAGCCAAATATCCACCTGCAGATTCTACAAAAAGAGTGTTTCAAAAGTGCTCTGTCCAAACCAAGGTTCAATTGCTGACAATTGAGTGCACACATCACAAACGTGATTCCTGCGAATGCTTCTGTCTAGTTTTTGTCGGAAGATATTTCCTTTTTCAGCATAGGCCCCAAGGAGCTCAAAATGTCCACTGCCAGATAGTACGAGAAGATTGTTTCAAACCTGCTCTGAGAAAGGGGAATGTTCAACTCTGTGACTTGAATGTAAACATCCCTAAGATGTTTCTTAGAATGCTTCTGGCTAGATTTTATTTGAAGATATTCCCGTTTCCAACGAAATCCTCAAAGCTTTCCAAATATCCACTTCCAGATTCTATAAAAAGAATGTTTCAAAACAGTTCTGTCCAAAGAAAGGTTCAACTCTGTTAGTGGAGAACTCACATCACAATCCAGGTTCTGAGAATGCTTCTGTCTAAATTTTCTATGAAGACATTCCCGTTTCCAACGAAATCCTCACAGCTATCCAAATATCCACTTGCAGATTCTACAAAAAGGGTGGTTCAAAACTGCTGTATCAAAAGAATGGATCAACACTGTTAGTTGAGTACCCACATCACAAACGTGATTCTCAGAATGCTTCTGTCTAGTTTCTGTAGGTAGATATTTCCTTTTTCAGCATAGGCCTGAAAGCGCTCCAAATGCCCGCTTCCAGACACTATAAAAAGAGGGTTTCAAACCTACTCTATGAAAGGGAATGTTCAACTCTGAGAGCTGGATGCAAACATCACAAAGAAGTTTCTGAGAATGCTGCTGTCTACTTTTGATATATAATCCCGTTTCCAACGAAATCCTCAAATCTAGCCAAATATCCACTTGCAGATTCCAAAAGAAGAGTGTCTCAAAACTGCTCTATCAATAGAAATGTTCAGCACAGTTAGTTGAGTAGATACAGCATAAACATGTTTCTGAGATTACTTCTATCTCGCATTCATGGGAAGATATTTCCTTTATCCAGATGGGCTACAAAGCCCTCCAAATGTCCACTTCGAGATACTACAAATAGAGTGCTGCACAACTGCTCTATGTGAGGGGATGTTCAATTCTGTGACTTGAATGCAGACACCACAAAGAAGTTTCTGAGAATGCTGCTGTCTAATTTTTACATGTAAGACCGTTTCCAACGAAATCCTCAAAGCTATCCAAATATCCGCATGCAGAATCTTCAAAAAGAGTGTTCCAGAAGTACTGCATGAAACGAAAGGTTCAAGTCCGTTTGTTGAGGACACACATCACAAATAAGTTTCTCAGAATGCTTCTGTCTTGTTTTCATTGGAAGATATTTCCTTTTTCACCATAGTTCAGAAAGCGCTCCAAATGTCCACTTCCAGATACTCCAAAAAGAGTGTTTCCAACCTGCTCTATGAATGGGAATGTTCCACTCTGTGACTTGAATGGAAATATGGCAAAGTATTTTCTGAGTATGCTGCTGTGTACGTTTTATATTGCATCCCGTTTCCAACGAAATCCTCAAAGCGATCCAAATATCCACTTGCAGATTCCAAAAAAAGAGTGTTTCAAAGTGCTCTGTCAGTACAAAGGTTCAACACTGTTGGTTGATTAGATGCATCATAAACAAGTTCCTGAGATAGCTTCTATGTCGTTTTGATGGGAAGATATTTCCTTTTTCACCATAGGCCTGAAAGCGCTCCAAATGTCCACTTCCAGATACTACAATAAGAGTGTTTCCAACCTGCTCTATGAAACGGAAGGTTCAACTCTGTGACTTGATTGCAAACATCACGAAGGTGTTTCTGAGAATGCTTCTGTCTAGATTTTCTTTGAAGACATTCCCGTTTCCAACGAAATCCTCACAGCTATCCAAATATCCTCTTGCAGATTCTACAAAAAGTGTGGTTCAAAACTGCTGTATCAAAAGAATGGATCAACACTGTTAGTTGAGTACCCACATCACAAACGTGATTCTCAGAATGCTTCTGTCTAGTTTCTGTAGGTAGATATTTCCTATTTTAAGCATAGGCCTGAAAGCGCTCCAAATGCCCGCTTCCAGACACTATAAAAAGAGGGTTTCAAACCTACTCTATGAAAGGGAATGTTCAACTCTGAGAGCTGGATGCAAACATCACAAAGAAGTTTCTGAGAATGCTGCTGTCTACTTTTTATATATAATCCCGTTTCCAACGAAATCCTCAAATCTATCCAAATATCCACTTGCAGATTCCAAAAGAAGAGTGTCTCAAAACTGCTCTATCAATAGAAATGTTCAGCACAGTTAGTTGAGTAGATACAGCATAAACATGTTTCTGAGATTACTTCTATCTCGCATTCATGGGAAGATATTTCCTTTTTCCAGATAGGCTACAAAGCCCTCCAAATGTCCACTTCCAGATACTACAAATAGAGTGCTGCACAACTGCTCTATGTGAGGGGAAGTTAAATTCTGTGACTTGAATGCAGACACCACAAAGAAGTTTCTGAGAATGCTGCTGTCTAATTTTTACTTGTAAGCCCGTTTCCAATGAAATCCTCAAAGCTATCCAAATATCCGCATGCAGAATCTTCAAAAAGAGTGTTCCAGAAGTACTGCATGAAACGAAAGGTTCAAGTCCGTTTGTTGAGGACACACACCACAAATAAGTTTCTCATAAAGCTTCTGTCTTGTTTTCATTGGAAGATATTTCCTTTTTCACCATAGTTCAGAAAGCGCTCCAAATGTCCACTTCCAGATACTCCAAAAAGAGTGTTTCCAACCTGCTCTATGAATGGGAATGTTCCACTCTGTGACTTGAATGGAAATATGGCAAAGTATTTTCTGAGTATGCTGCTGTGTACGTTTTATATTGCATCCCGTTTCCAACGAAATCCTCAAAGCGATCCAAATATCCACTTGCAGATTCCAAAAAAAGAGTGTTTCAAACTGCTCTGTCAGTACAAAGGTTCAACACTGTTAGTTGATTAGATGCATCATAAACAAGTTCCTGATATAGATTCTATGTCGTTTTTATGGGAAGATATTTCCTTTTTCACCATAGGCCTGAAAGCGCTCCAAATGTCCACTTCCAGATACTACAAAAAGAGTGTTTCCAACCTGCTCTATGAAACGGAAGGTTCAACTCTGTGACTTGATTGCAAACATCACGAAGGTGTTTCTGAGAATGCTTCTGTCTAGATTTTCTTTGAAGACATTCCCGTTTCCAACGAAATCCTCACAGCTATCCAAATATCCTCTTGCAGATTCTACAAAAAGTGTGGTTCAAAACTGCTGTATCAAAAGAATGGATCAACACTGTTAGTTGAGTACCCACATCACAAACGTGATTCTCAGAATGCTTCTGTCTAGTTTCTGTAGGTAGATATTTCCTATTTTAAGCATAGGCCTGAAAGCGCTCCAAATGCCCGCTTCCAGACACTATAAAAAGAGGGTTTCAAACCTACTCTATGAAAGGGAATGCTCAACTCTGAGAGCTGGATGCAAACATCACAAAGAAGTTTCTGAGAATGCTGCTGTCTACTTTTGATATATAATCCCGTTTCCAACGAAATCCTCAAATCTATCCAAATATCCACTTGCAGATTCCAAAAGAAGAGTGTCTCAAAACTGCTCTATCAATAGAAATGTTCAGCACAGTTAGTTGAGTAGATACAGCATAAACATGTTTCTGAGATTACTTCTATCTCGCATTCATGGGAAGATATTTCCTTTATCCAGATAGGCTACAAAGCCCTCCAAATGTCCACTTCGAGATACTACAAATAGAGTGCTGCACAGCTGCTCTATGTGAGGGGATGTTCAATTCTGTGACTTGAATACAGACACCACAAAGAAGTTTTGATAATGCTCCTGTCTAATTTTTATATGTAAGCCCGTTTCCAACGAAATCCTCAAAGCTAACCAAATATCCGCATGCAGAATCTTCAAAAAGAGTGTTCCAGAAGTACTGCATGAAACGAAAGCTTCGAGTCCGTTAGTTGAGGACACGCATCACAAATAAGTTTCTCAGAATGCTTCTGTCTTGTTTTCATTGGAAGATATTTCCTTTTTCACCATAGTTCAGAAAGCGCTCCAAATGTCCACTTCCAGAGACTCCAAAAAGAGTGTTTCAAACCTGCTCTATGAATGGGAATGTTCCACTCTGTGACTTGAATGGAAATATGGCAAAGTATTTTCTGAGTATGCTGCTGTGTACGTTTTATATTGCATCCCGTTTCCAACGAAATCCTCAAAGCGATCCAAATATCCACTTGCAGATTCCAAAAAAAGAGTGTTTCAAACTGCTCTGTCAGTACAAAGGTTCAACACTGTTAGTTGATTAGATGCATCATAAACAAGTTCCTGAGATAGCTTCTATATCGTTTTTATGGGAAGATATTTCCTTTTTCACCATAGGCCTGAAAGCGCTCCAAATGTCCACTTCCAGATACTACAATAAGAGTGTTTCCAACCTGCTCTATGAAACGGAAGGTTCAACTCTGTGACTTGATTGCAAACATCACGAAGGTATTTCTGAGAATGCTTCTGTCTAGATTTTCTTTGAAGACATTACCGTTTCCAACGAAATCCTCAAAGCTAGCCAAATATCCACCTGCAGATTCTACAAAAAGAGTGTTTCAAAAGTGCTCTGTCCAAACCAAGGTTCAATTCTGACAGTTGAGTGCACACATCACAAACGTGATTCTGCGAATGCTTCTGTCTAGTTTTTGTCGGAAGATATTTCCTTTTTCAGCATAGGCCCCAAGGAGCTCAAAATGTCCACTGCCAGATAGTACGAGAAGATTGTTTCAAACCTGCTCTGTGAAAGGGAATGTTCAACTCTGTGACTTGAATGTAAACATCCCTAAGATGTTTCTTAGAATGCTCTGGCTAGATTTTATTTGAAGATATTCCCGGTTTCCAACGAAATCCTCAAAGCTTTCCAAATATCCACTTCCAGATTCTATAAAAAGAATGTTTCAAAACAGTTCTGTCAAAAGAAAGGTTCAACTCTGTTAGTGGAGAACACACATCACAATCAAGGTTCTGAGAATGCTTTCTGTCTAAATTTTCTATGAAGACATTCCCGTTTCCAACGAAATCTTCACAGCTATCCAAATATCTACTTGCAGATTCTACAAAAAGTGTGGTTCAAAACTGCTGTATCAAAAGAATGGATCAACACTGTTAGTTGAGTACCCACATCACAAACGTGATTCTCAGAATGCTTCTGTCTAGTTTCTATAGGTAGATATTTCCTTTTTCAGCATAGGCCTGAAAGCGCTCCAAATGCCCGCTTCCAGACACTATAAAAAGAAGGTTTCAAACCTACTCTATGAAAGGGAATGTTCAACTCTGAGAGCTGGATGCAAACATCACAAAGAAGTTTCTGAGAATGCTGCTGTCTACTTTTTATATATAATCCCGTTTCCAACGAAATCCTCAAATCTATCCAAATATCCACTTGCAGATTCCAAAAGAAGAGTGTCTCAAAACTGCTCTATCAATAGAAATGTTCAGCACAGTTAGTTGAGTAGATACAGCATAAACATGTTTCTGAGATTACTTCTATCTCGCATTCATGGGAAGATATTTCCTTTTTCCAGATAGGCTACAAAGCCCTCCAAATGTCCACTTCGAGATACTACAAATAGAGTGCTGCACAACTGCTCTATGTGAGGGGATGTTCAATTCTGTGACTTGAATGCAGACACCACAAAGAAGTTTCTGAGAATGCTGCTGTCTAATTTTTACATGTAAGCCCGTTTCCAACGAAATCCTCAAAGCTATCCAAATATCCGCATGCAGAATCTTCAAAAAGAGTGTTCCAGAAGTACTGCATGAAACGAAAGGTTCAAGTCCGTTTGTTGAGGACACACATCACAAATAAGTTTCTCAGAATGCTTCTGTCTTGTTTTCATTGGAAGATATTTCCTTTTTCACCATAGTTCAGAAAGCGCTCCAAATGTCCACTTCCAGATACTCCAAAAAGAGTGTTTCCAACCTGCTCTATGAATGGGAATGTTCCACTCTGTGACTTGAATGGAAATATGGCAAAGTATTTTCTGAGTATGCTGCTGTGTACGTTTTATATTGCATCCCGTTTCCAACGAAATCCTCAAAGCGATCCAAATATCCACTTGCAGATTCCAAAAAAAGAGTGTTTCAAACTGCTCTGTCAGTACAAAGGTTCAACACTGTTAGTTGATTAGATGCATCATAAACAAGTTCCTGAGATAGCTTCTATGTCGTTTTTATGGGAAGATATTTCCTTTTTCACCATAGGCCTGAAAGCACTCCAAATGTCCACTTCCAGATACTACAAAAAGAGTGTTTCCAACCTGCTCTATGAAACGGAAGGTTCAACTCTGTGACTTGATTGCAAACATCACGAAGGTGTTTCTGAGAATGCTTCTGTCTAGATTTTCTTTGAAGACATTACCGTTTCCAACGAAATCCTCAAAGCTAGCCAAATATCCACCTGCAGATTCTACAAAAAGAGTGTTTCAAAAGTGCTCTGTCCAAACCAAGGTTCAATTCTGACAGTTGAGTGCACACATCACAAACGTGATTCTGCGAATGCTTCTGTCTAGTTTTTGTCGGAAGATATTTCCTTTTTCAGCATAGGCCCCAAGGAGCTCAAAATGTCCACTGCCAGATAGTACGAGAAGATTGTTTCAAACCTGCTCTGAGAAAGGGGAATGTTCAACTCTGTGACTTGAATGTAAACATCCCTAAGATGTTTCTTAGAATGCTTCTGGCTAGATTTGATTTGAAGATATTCCCGTTTCCAACGAAATCCTCAAAGCTTTCCAAATATCCACTTCCAGATTCTATAACAAGAATGTTTCAGAACAGTTCTGTCAAAAGAAAGGTTCAACTCTGTTAGTGGAGAACACACATCACAATCAAGGTTCTGAGAATGCTTCTGTCTAAATTTTCTATGAAGACATTCCCGTTTCCAACGAAATCCTCACAGCTATCCAAATATCCACTTGCAGATTCTACAAAAAGTGTGGTTCAAAACTGCTGTATCAAAAGAATGGATCAACACTGTTAGTTGAGTACCCACATCACAAACGTGATTCTCAGAATGCTTCTGTCTAGTTTCCATAGGTAGATATTTCCTTTTTCAGCATAGGCCTGAAAGCGCTCCAAATGCCCGCTTCCAGACACTATAAAAAGAGGGTTTCAAACCTACTCTATGAAAGGGAATGTTCAACTCTGAGAGCTGGATGCAAACATCACAAAGAAGTTTCTGAGAATGCTGCTGTCTACTTTTTATATATCATCCCGTTTCCAACGAAATCCTCAAATCTATCCAAATATCCACTTGCAGATTCCAAAAGAAGAGTGTCTCAAAACTGCTCTATCAATAGAAATGTTCAGCACAGTTAGTTGAGTAGATACAGCATAAACATGTTTCTGAGATTACTTCTATCTCGCATTCATGGGAAGATATTTCCTTTTTCCAGATAGGCTACAAAGCCCTCCAAATGTCCACTTCCAGATACTACAAATAGAGTGCTGCACAACTGCTCTATGTGAGGGGAAGTTCAATTCTGTGACTTGAATGCAGACACCACAAAGAAGTTTCTGAGAATGCTGCTGTCTAATTTTTACATGTAAGCCCGTTTCCAACGAAATCCTCAAAGCTATCCAAATATCCGCATGCAGAATCTTCAAAAAGAGTGTTCCAGAAGTACTGCATGAAACGAAAGGTTCAAGTCCGTTTGTTGAGGACACACATCACAAAGAAGTTTCTCAGAATGCTTCTGTCTTGTTTTCATTGGAAGATATTTCCTTTTTCACCATAGTTCAGAAAGCGCTCCAAATGTCCACTTCCAGATACTCCAAAAAGAGTGTTTCCAACCTGCTCTATGAATGGGAATGTTCCACTCTGTGACTTGAATGGAAATATGGCAAAGTATTTTCTGAGTATGCTGCTGTGTACGTTTTATATTGCATCCCGTTTCCAACGAAATCCTCAAAGCGATCCAAATATCCACTTGCAGATTCCAAAAAAAGAGTGTTTCAAACTGCTCTGTCAGTACAAAGGTTCAACACTGTTAGTTGATTAGATGCATCATAAACAAGTTCCTGAGATAGCTTCTATGTCGTTTTTATGGGAAGATATTTCCTTTTTCACCATAGGCCTGAAAGCGCTCCAAATGTCCACTTCCAGATACTACAATAAGAGTGTTTCCAACCTGCTCTATGAAACGGAAGGTTCAACTCTGTGACTTGATTGCAAACATCACGAAGGTGTTTCTGAGAATGCTTCTGTCTAGATTTTCTTTGAAGACATTACCGTTTCCAACGAAATCCTCAAAGCTAGCCAAATATCCACCTGCGGATTCTACAAAAAGAGTGTTTCAACAGTGCTCTGTCCAAACCAAGGTTCAATTCTGACAGTTGAGTGCACACATCACAAACGTGATTCTGCGAATGCTTCTGTCTAGTTTTTGTCGGAAGATATTTCCTTTTTCAGCATAGGCCCCAAGGAGCTCAAAATGTCCACTTCCAGATAGTACGAGAAGATTGTTTCAAACCTGCTCTGTGAAAGGGAATGTTCAACTCTGTGACTTGAATGTAAACATCCCTAAGATGTTTCTTAGAATGCTTCTGGCTAGATTTGATTTGAAGATATTCCCGTTTCCAACGAAATCCTCAAAGCTTTCCAAATATCCACTTCCAGATTCTATAAAAAGAATGTTTCAAAACAGTTCTGTCAACAGAAAGGTCCAACTCTGTTAGTGGAGAACACACATCACAATCAAGGTTCTGAGAATGCTTCTGTCTAAATTTTCTATGAAGACATTCCCGTTTCCAACGAAATCCTCACAGCTATCCAAGTATCCACTTGCAGATTCTACAAAAAGTGTGGTTCAAAACTGCTGTATCAAAAGAATGGATCAACACTGTTAGTTGAGTACCCACATCACCAACGTGATTCTCAGAATGCTTCTGTCTAGTTTCTATAGGTAGATATTTCCTTTTTCAGCATAGGCCTGAAAGCGCTCCAAATGCCCGCTTCCAGACACTATAAAAAGAGGGTTTCAAACCTACTCTATGAAGGGGAATGTTCAACTCTGAGAGCTGGATGCAAACATCACAAAGAAGTTTCTGAGAATGCTGCTGTCTACTTTTGATATATAATCCCGTTTCCAAGGAAATCCTCAAATCTATCCAAATATCCACTTGCAGATTCCAAAAGAAGAGTGTCTCAAAACTGCTCTATCAATAGAAATGTTCAGCACAGTTAGTTGAGTAGATACAGCATAAACATGTTTCTGAGATTACTTCTATCTCGCATTCATGGGAAGATATTTCCTTTTTCCAGATAGGCTACAAAGCCCTCCAAATGTCCACTTCGAGATACTACAAATAGAGTGCTGCACAACTGCTCTATGTGAGGGGATGTTCAATTCTGTGACTTTAATGCAGACACCACAAAGAAGTTTCTGAGAATGCTGCTGTCTAATTTTTATATGTAAGCCCGTTTCCAACGAAATCCTCAAAGCTATCCAAATATCCGCATGCAGAATCTTCAAAAAGAGTGTTCCAGAAGTACTGCATGAAACGAAAGGTTCAAGTCCGTTAGTTGAGGACACACATCACAAATAAGTTTCTCAGAATGCTTCTGTCTTGTTTTCATTGGAAGATATTTCCTTTTTCACCATAGTTCAGAAAGCGCTCCAAATGTCCACTTCCAGATACTCCAAAAAGAGTGTTTCAAACCTGCTCTATGAATGGGAATGTTCCACTCTGTGACTTGAATGGAAATATGGCAAAGTATTTTCTGAGTATGCTGCTGTGTACGTTTTATATTGCATCCCGTTTCCAACGAAATCCTCAAAGTGATCCAAATATCCACTTGCAGATTCCAAAAAAAGAGTGTTTCAAACTGCTCTGTCAGTACAAAGGTTCAACACTGTTAGTTGATTAGATGCATCATAAACAAGTTCCTGAGATAGCTTCTATGTCGTTTTTATGGGAAGATATTTCCTTTTTCACCATAGGCCTGAAAGCGCTCCAAATGTCCACTTCCAGATACTACAAAAAGAGTGTTTCCAACCTGCTCTATGAAACGGAAGGTTCAACTCTGTGACTTGATTGCAAACATCACGAAGGTGTTTCTGAGAATGCTTCTGTCTAGATTTTCTTTGAAGACATTACCGTTTCCAACGAAATCCTCAAAGCTAGCCAAATATCCACCTGCAGATTCTACAAAAAGAGTGTTTCAAAAGTGCTCTGTCCAAACCAAGGTTCAATTCTGACAGTTGAGTGCACACATCACAAACGTGATTCTGCAAATGCTTCTGTCTAGTTTTTGTCGGAAGATATTTCCTTTTTCAGCATAGGCCCCAAGGAGCTCAAAATGTCCACTGCCAGATAGTACGAGAAGATTGTTTCAAACCTGCTCTGTGAAAGGGAATGTTCAACTCTGTGACTTGAATGTAAACATCCCTAAGATGTTTCTTAGAATGCTTCTGGCTAGATTTTATTTGAAGATATTCCCGTTTCCAACGAAATCCTCAAAGCTTTCCAAATATCCACTTCCAGATTCTATAAAAAGAATGTTTCAGAACAGTTCTGTCAAAAGAAAGGTTCAACTCTGTTAGTGGAGAACACACATCACAATCAAGGTTCTGAGAATGCTTCTGTCTAAATTTTCTATGAAGACATTCCCGTTTCCAACGAAATCCTCACAGCTATCCAAATATCCACTTGCAGATTCTACAAAAAGTGTGGTTCAAAACTGCTGTATCAAAAGAATGGATCAACACTGTTAGTTGAGTACCCACATCACAAACGTGATTCTCAGAATGCTTCTGTCTAGTTTCTATAGGTAGATATCTCCTTTTTCAGCATAGGCCTGAAAGCGCTCCAAATGCCCGCTTCCAGACACTATAAAAAGAGGGTTTCAAACCTACTCTATGAAAGGGAATGTTCAACTCTGAGAGCTGGATGCAAACATCACAAAGAAGTTTCTGAGAATGCTGCTGTCTACTTTTGATATATAATCCCGTTTCCAACGAAATCCTCAAATCTATCCAAATATCCACTTGCAGATTCCAAAAGAAGAGGGTCTCAAAACTGCTCTATCAATAGAAATGTTCAGCACAGTTAGTTGAGTAGATACAGCATAAACATGTTTCTGAGATTACTTCTATCTCGCATTCATGGGAAGATATTTCCTTTTTCCAGATAGGCTACAAAGCCCTCCAAATGTCCACTTCCAGATACTACAAATAGAGTGCTGCACAACTGCTCTATGTGAGGGGAAGTTCAATTCTGTGACTTGAATGCAGACACCACAAAGAAGTTTCTGAGAATGCTGCTGTCTAATTTTTGCATGTAAGCCCGTTTCCAACGAAATCCTCAAAGCTATCCAAATATCCGCATGCAGAATCTTCAAAAAGAGTGTTCCAGAAGTACTGCATGAAACGAAAGGTTCAAGTCCGTTTGTTGAGGACACACATCACAAATAAGTTTCTCAGAATGCTTCTGTCTTGTTTTCATTGGAAGATATTTCCTTTTTCACCATAGTTCAGAAAGCGCTCCAAATGTCCACTTCCAGATACTCCAAAAAGAGTGTTTCCAACCTGCTCTATGAATGGGAATGTTCCACTCTGTGACTTGAATGGAAATATGGCAAAGTATTTTCTGAGTATGCTGCTGTGTACGTTTTATATTGCATCCCGTTTCCAACGAAATCCTCAAAGCGATCCAAATATCCACTTGCAGATTCCAAAAAAAAGAGTGTTTCACACTGCTCTGTCAGTACAAAGGTTCAACACTGTTAGTTGATTGGATGCATCATAAACAAGTTCCTGAGATAGCTTCTATGTCGTTTTCATGGGAAGATATTTCCTTTTTCACCATAGGCCTGAAAGCGCTCCAAATGTCCACTTCCAGATACTACAAAAAGAGTGTTTCCAACCTGCTCTATGAAACGGAAGGTTCAACTCTGTGACTTGATTGCAAACATCACGAAGGTGTTTCTGAGAATGTTTTCTGTCTAGATTTTCTTTGAAGACATTACCGTTTCCAACGAAATCCTTAAAGCTAGCCAAATATCCACCTGCAGATTCTACAAAAAGAGTGTTTCAAAAGTGCTCTGTCCAAACCAAGGTTCAATTCTGACAGTTGAGTGCACACATCACAAACGTGATTCTGCGAATGCTTCTGTCTAGTTTTTGTCGGAAGATATTTCCTTTTTCAGCATAGGCCCCAAGGAGCTCACAATGTCCACTGCCAGATAGTACGAGAAGATTGTTTCAAATCTGCTCTGTGAAAGGGAATGTTCAACTCTGTGACTTGAATGTAAACATCCCTAAGATGTTTCTTAGAATGCTTCTGGCTAGATTTGATTTGAAGATATTCCCGTTTCCAACGAAATCCTCAAGGCTTTCCAAATATCCACTTCCAGATTCTATAAAAAGAATGTTTCAGAACAGTTCTGTCAAAAGAAAGGTTCAACTCTGTTAGTGGAGAACACACATCACAATCAAGGTTCTGAGAATGCTTCTGTCTAGATTTTCTTTAAAGACATTCCCGTTTCCAACGAAATCCTCACAGCTATCCAAATATCCTCTTGCAGATTCTACAAAAAGTGTGGTTCAAAACTGCTGTATCAAAAGAATGGATCAACACTGTTAGTTGAGTACCCACATCACAAACGTGATTCTCAGAATGCTTCTGTCTAGTTTCTGTAGGTAGATATTTCCTATTTTAAGCATAGGCCTGAAAGCGCTCCAAATGCCCGCTTCCAGACACTATAAAAAGAGGGTTTCAAACCTACTCTATGAAAGGGAATGTTCAACTCTGAGAGCTGGATGCAAACATCACAAAGAAGTTTCTGAGAATGCTGCTGTCTACTTTTTATATATAATCCCGTTTCCAACGAAATCCTCAAATCTATCCAAATATCCACTTGCAGATTCCAAAAGAAGAGTGTCTCAAAACTGCTCTATCAATAGAAATGTTCAGCACAGTTAGTTGAGTAGATACAGCATAAACATGTTTCTCAGATTACTTCTATCTCGCATTCATGGGAAGATATTTCCTTTTTCCAGATAGGCTACAAAGCCCTCCAAATGTCCACTTCCAGATACTACAAATAGAGTGCTGCACAACTGCTCTATGTGAGGGGAAGTTCAATTCTGTGACTTGAATGCAGACAGCACAAGAAGTTTCTGAGAATGCTGCTGTCTAATTTTTACATGTAAGCCCGTTTCCAACGAAATCCTCAAAGCTATCCAAATATCCGCATGCAGAATCTTCAAAAAGAGTGTTCCAGAAGTACTGCATGAAACGAAAGGTTCAAGTCCGTTTGTTGAGGACACACATCACAAATAAGTTTCTCAGAATGCTTCTGTCTTGTTTTCATTGGAAGATATTTCCTTTTTCACCATAGTTCAGAAAGCGCTCCAAATGTCCACTTCCAGATACTCCAAAAAGAGTGTTTCAAACCTGCTCTATGAATGGGAATGTTCCACTCTGTGACTTGAATGGAAATATGGCAAAGTATTTTCTGAGTATGCTGCTGTGTACGTTTTATATTGCATCCCGTTTCCAACGAAATCCTCAAAGCGATCCAAATATCCACTTGCAGATTCCAAAAAAAGAGTGTTTCAAACTGCTCTGTCAGTACAAAGGTTCAACACTGTTAGTTGATTAGATGCATCATAAACAAGTTCCTGAGATAGCTTCTATGTCGTTTTTATGGGAAGATATTTCCTTTTTCACCATAGGCCTGAAAGCGCTCCAAATGTCCACTTCCAGATACTACAATAAGAGTGTTTCCAACCTGCTCTATGAAACGGAAGGTTCAACTCTGTGACTTGATTGCAAACATCACGAAGGTGTTTCTGAGAATGCTTCTGTCTAGATTTTCTTTGAAGACATTACCGTTTCCAACGAAATCCTCAAAGCTAGCCAAATATCCACCTGCAGATTCTACAAAAAGAGTGTTTCAAAAGTGCTCTGTCCAAACCAAGGTTCAATTCTGACAGTTGAGTGCACACATCACAAACGTGATTCTGCGAATGCTTCTGTCTAGTTTTTGTCGGAAGATATTTCCTTTTTCAGCATAGGCCCCAAGGAGCTCAAAATGTCCACTGCCAGATAGTACGAGAAGATTGTTTCAAACCTGCTCTGTGAAAGGGAATGTTCAACTCTGTGACTTGAATGTAAACATCCCTAAGATGTTTCTTAGAATGCTTCTGGCTAGATTTTATTTGAAGATATTCCCGTTTCCAACGAAATCCTCAAAGCTTTCCAAATATCCACTTCCAGATTCTATAAAAAGAATGTTTCAGAACAGTTCTGTCAAAAGAAAGGTTCAACTCTGTTAGTGGAGAACACACATCACAATCAAGGTTCTGAGAATGCTTCTGTCTAAATTTTCTATGAAGACATTCCCGTTTCCAACGAAATCCTCACAGCTATCCAAATATCCACTTGCAGATTCTACAAAAAGTGTGGTTCAAAACTGCTGTATCAAAAGAATGGATCAACACTGTTAGTTGAGTACCCACATCACAAACGTGATTCTCAGAATGCTTCTGTCTAGTTTCTATAGGTAGATATTTCCTTTTTCAGCATAGGCCTGAAAGCGCTCCAAATGCCCGCTTCCAGACACTATAAAAAGAGGGTTTCAAACCTACTCTATGAAAGGGAATGTTCAACTCTGAGAGCTGGATGCAAACATCACAAAGAAGTTTCTGAGAATGCTGCTGTCTACTTTTTATATATAATCCCGTTTCCAACGAAATCCTCAAATCTATCCAAATATCCACTTGCAGATTCCAAAAGAAGAGGGTCTCAAAACTGCTCTATCAATAGAAATGTTCAGCACAGTTAGTTGAGTAGATACAGCATAAACATGTTTCTGAGATTACTTCTATCTCGCATTCATGGGAAGATATTTCCTTTTTCCAGATAGGCTACAAAGCCCTCCAAATGTCCACTTCCAGATACTA
Source organism: Homo sapiens (assembly GCF_000001405.40). Classification (NCBI taxonomy): domain Eukaryota; kingdom Metazoa; phylum Chordata; class Mammalia; order Primates; family Hominidae; genus Homo; species Homo sapiens. The sequence continues at coordinate 45,597,699 of NC_000008.11, read as the reverse complement.
CAAATAGAGTGCTGCACAACTGCTCTATGTGAGGGGAAGTTCAATTCTGTGACTTGAATGCAGACACCACAAAGAAGTTTCTGAGAATGCTGCTGTCTAATTTTTACATGTAAGCCCGTTTCCAACGAAATCCTCAAAGCTATCCAAATATCCGCATGCAGAATCTTCAAAAAGAGTGTTCCAGAAGTACTGCATGAAACGAAAGGTTCAAGTCCGTTTGTTGAGGACACACATCACAAATAAGTTTCTCAGAATGCTTCTGTCTTGTTTTCATTGGAAGATATTTCCTTTTTCACCATAGTTAAGAAAGCGCTCCAAATGTCCACTTCCAGATACTCCAAAAAGAGTGTTTCAAACCTGCTCTATGAATGGGAATGTTCCACTCTGTGACTTGAATGGAAATATGGCAAAGTATTTTCTGAGTATGCTGCTGTGTACGTTTTATATTGCATCCCGTTTCCAACGAAATCCTCAAAGCGATCCAAATATCCACTTGCAGATTCCAAAAAAAGAGTGTTTCAAACTGCTCTGTCAGTACAAAGGTTCAACACTGTTAGTTGATTAGATGCATCATAAACAAGTTCCTGAGATAGCTTCTATGTCGTTTTTATGGGAAGATATTTCCTTTTTCACCATAGGCCTGAAAGCGCTCCAAATGTCCACTTCCAGATACTACAATAAGAGTGTTTCCAACCTGCTCTATGAAACGGAAGGTTCAACTCTGTGACTTGATTGCAAACATCACGAAGGTGTTTCTGAGAATGCTTCTGTCTAGATTTTCTTTGAAGACATTCCCGTTTCCAACGAAATCCTCACAGCTATCCAAATATCCGCTTGCAGATTCTACAAAAAGTGTGGTTCAAAACTGCTGTATCAAAAGAATGGATCAACACTGTTAGTTGAGTACCCACATCACAAACGTGATTCTCAGAATGCTTCTGTCTAGTTTCTGTAGGTAGATATTTCCTATTTTAAGCATAGGCCTGAAAGCGCTCCAAATGCCCGCTTCCAGACACTATAAAAAGAGGGTTTCAAACCTACTCTATGAAAGGGAATGTTCAACTCTGAGAGCTGGATGCAAACATCACAAAGAAGTTTCTGAGAATGCTGCTGTCTACTTTTTATATATAATCCCGTTTCCAACGAAATCCTCAAATCTCTCCAAATATCCACTTGCAGATTCCAAAAGAAGAGTGTCTCAAAACTGCTCTATCAATAGAAATGTTCAGCACAGTTAGTTGAGTAGATACAGCATAAACATGTTTCTGAGATTACTTCTATCTCGCATTCATGGGAAGATATTTCCTTTTTCCAAGTAGGCTACAAAGCCCTCCAAATGTCCACTTCGAGATACTACAAATAGAGTGCTGCACAACTGCTCTATGTGAGGGGAAGTTCAATTCTGTGACTTGAATGCAGACACCACAAAGAAGTTTCTGAGAATGCTGCTGTCTAATTTTTACATGTAAGCCCGTTTCCAACGAAATCCTCAAAGCTATCCAAATATCCGCATGCAGAATCTTCAAAAAGAGTGTTCCAGAAGTACTGCATGAAACGAAAGGTTCAAGTCCGTTTGTTGAGGACACACATCACAAATAAGTTTCTCAGAATGCTTCTGTCTTGTTTTCATTGGAAGATATTTCCTTTTTCACCATAGTTCAGAAAGCGCTCCAAATGTCCACTTCCAGATACTCTAAAAAGAGTGTTTCAAACCTGCTCTATGAATGGGAATGTTCCACTCTGTGACTTGAATGGAAATATGGCAAAGTATTTTCTGAGTATGCTGCTGTGTACGTTTTATATTGCATCCCGTTTCCAACGAAATCCTCAAAGCGATCCAAATATCCACTTGCAGATTCCAAAAAAAGAGTGTTTCAAACTGCTCTGTCAGTACAAAGGTTCAACACTGTTAGTTGATTAGATGCATCATAAACAAGTTCCTGAGATAGCTTCTATCTCGCATTCATGGGAAGATATTTCCTTTTTCCACATAGGCTACAAAGCCCTTCAAATGTCCACTTCCAGATACTACAAAAAGAGTGTTTCCAACCTGCTCTATGAAACGGAAGGTTCAACTCTGTGACTTGATTGCAAACATCACGAAGGTGTTTCTGAGAATGCTTCTGTCTAGATTTTCTTTGAAGACATTACCGTTTCCAACGAAATCCTCAAAGCTAGCCAAATATCCACCTGCAGATTCTACAAAAAGAGTGTTTCAAAAGTGCTCTGTCCAAACCAAGGTTCAATTCTGACAGTTGAGTGCACACATCACAAACGTGATTCTGCGAATGCTTCTGTCTAGTTTTTGTCGGAAGATATTTCCTTTTTCAGCATAGGCCCCAAGGAGCTCAAAATGTCCACTGCCAGATAGTACGAGAAGATTGTTTCAAACCTGCTCTGTGAAAGGGAATGTTCAACTCTGTGACTTGAATGTAAACATCCCTAAGATGTTTCTTAGAATGCTTCTGGCTAGATTTTATTTGAAGATATTCCCGTTTCCAACGAAATCCTCAAAGCTTTCCAAATATCCACTTCCAGATTCTATAAAAAGAATGTTTCAGAACAGTTCTGTCAAAAGAAAGGTTCAACTCTGTTAGTGGAGAACACACATCACAATCAAGGTTCTGAGAATGCTTCTGTCTAAATTTTCTATGAAGACATTCCCGTTTCCAACGAAATCCTCACAGCTATCCAAATATCCACTTGCAGATTCTACAAAAAGTGTGGTTCAAAACTGCTGTATCAAAAGAATGGATCAACACTGTTAGTTGAGTACCCACATCACAAACGTGATTCTCAGAATGCTTCTGTCTAGTTTCTATAGGTAGATATTTCCTTTTTCAGCATAGGCCTGAAAGCGCTCCAAATGCCCGCTTCCAGACACTATAAAAAGAGGGTTTCAAACCTACTCTATGAAAGGGAATGTTCAACTCTGAGAGCTGGATGCAAACATCACAAAGAAGTTTCTGAGAATGCTGCTGTCTACTTTTTATATATAATCCCGTTTCCAACGAAATCCTCAAATCTATCCAAATATCCACTTGCAGATTCCAAAAGAAGAGTGTCTCAAAACTGCTCTATCAATAGAAATGTTCAGCACAGTTAGTTGAGTAGATACAGCATAAACATGTTTCTGAGATTACTTCTATCTCGCATTCATGGGAAGATATTTCCTTTTTCCAGATAGGCTACAAAGCCCTCCAAATGTCCACTTCCAGATACTACAAAAAGAGTGCTGCACAACTGCTCTATGTGAGGGGATGTTCAATTCTGTGACTTGAATGCAGACACCACAAAGAAGTTTCTGAGAATGCTGCTGTCTAATTTTTACATGTAAGCCCGTTTCCAACGAAATCCTCAAAGCTATCCAAATATCCGCATGCAGAATCTTCAAAAAGAGTGTTCCAGAAGTACTGCATGAAACGAAAGGTTCAAGTCCGTTTGTTGAGGACACACATCACAAATAAGTTTCTCAGAATGCTTCTGTCTTGTTTTCATTGGAAGATATTTCCTTTTTCACCATAGTTCAGAAAGCGCTCCAAATGTCCACTTCCAGATACTCCAAAAAGAGTGTTTCCAACCTGCTCTATGAATGGGAATGTTCCACTCTGTGACTTGAATGGAAATATGGCAAAGTATTTTCTGAGTATGCTGCTGTGTACGTTTTATATTGCATCCCGTTTCCAACGAAATCCTCAAAGCGATCCAAATATCCACTTGCAGATTCCAAAAAAAGAGTGTTTCAAAGTGCTCTGTCAGTACAAAGGTTCAACACTGTTAGTTGATTAGATGCATCATAAACAAGTTCCTGAGATAGCTTCTATGTCGTTTTTATGGGAAGATATTTCCTTTTTCACCATAGGCCTGAAAGCACTCCAAATGTCCACTTCCAGATACTACAAAAAGAGTGTTTCCAACCTGCTCTATGAAACGGAAGGTTCAACTCTGTGACTTGATTGCAAACATCACGAAGGTGTTTCTGAGAATGCTTCTGTCTAGATTTTCTTTGAAGACATTACCGTTTCCAACGAAATCCTCAAAGCTAGCCAAATATCCACCTGCAGATTCTACAAAAAGAGTGTTTCAAAAGTGCTCTGTCCAAACCAAGGTTCAATTCTGACAGTTGAGTGCACACATCACAAACGTGATTCTGCGAATGCTTCTGTCTAGTTTTTGTTGGAAGATATTTCCTTTTTCAGCATAGGCCCCAAGGAGCTCAAAATGTCCACTGCCAGATAGTACGAGAAGATTGTTTCAAACCTGCTCTGTGAAAGGGAATGTTCAACTCTGTGACTTGAATGTAAACATCCCTAAGATGTTTCTTAGAATGCTTCTGGCTAGATTTGATTTGAAGATATTCCCGTTTCCAACGAAATCCTCAAAGCTTTCCAAATATCCACTTTCAGATTCTATAAAAAGAATGTTTCAGAACAGTTCTGTCAAAAGAAAGGTTCAACTCTGTTAGTGGAGAACACACATCACAATCAAGGTTCTGAGAATGCTTCTGTCTAAATTTTCTATGAAGACATTCCCGTTTCCAACGAAATCCTCACAGCTATCCAAATATCCACTTGCAGATTCTACAAAAAGTGTGGTTCAAAACTGCTGTATCAAAAGAATGGATCAACACTGTTAGTTGAGTACCCACATCACAAACGTGATTCTCAGAATGCTTCTGTCTAGTTTCTGTAGGTAGATATTTCCTTTTTCAGCATAGGCCTGAAAGCGCTCCAAATGCCCGCTTCCAGACACTATAAAAAGGGGGTTTCAAACCTACTCTATGAAAGGGAATGTTCAACTCTGAGAGCTGGATGCAAACATCACAAAGAAGTTTCTGAGAATGCTGCTGTCTACTTTTGATATATAATCCCGTTTCCAACGAAATCCTCAAATCTATCCAAATATCCACTTGCAGATTCCAAAAGAAGAGTGTCTCAAAACTGCTCTATCAATAGAAATGTTCAGCACAGTTACTTGAGTAGATACAGCATAAACCTGTTTCTGAGATTACTTCTATCTCGCATTCATGGGAAGATATTTCCTTTTTCCAGATAGGCTACAAAGCCCTCCAAATGTCCACTTCGAGATACTACAAATAGAGTGCTGCACAACTGCTCTATGTGAGGGGATGTTCAATTCTGTGACTTGAATGCAGACACCACAAAGAAGTTTCTGAGAATGCTGCTGTCTAATTTTTATATGTAAGCCCGTTTCCAACGAAATCCTCAAAGCTAACCAAATATCCGCATGCAGAATCTTCAAAAAGAGTGTTCCAGAAGTACTGCATGAAACGAAAGGTTCGAGTCCGTTAGTTGAGGACACGCATCACAAATAAGTTTCTCAGAATGCTTCTGTCTTGTTTTCATTGGAAGATATTTCCTTTTTCACCATAGTTCAGAAAGCGCTCCAAATGTCCACTTCCAGATACTCCAAAAAGAGTGTTTCCAACCTGCTCTATGAATGGGAATGTTCCACTCTGTGACTTGAATGGAAATATGGCAAAGTATTTTCTGAGTATGCTGCTGTGTACGTTTTATATTGCATCCCGTTTCCAACGAAATCCTCAAAGCGATCCAAATATCCACTTGCAGATTCCAAAAAAAGAGTGTTTCAAACTGTTCTGTCAGTACAAAGGTTCAACACTGTTAGTTGATTAGATGCATCATAAACAAGTTCCTGAGATAGCTTCTATGTCGTTTTTATGGGAAGATATTTCCTTTTTCACCATAGGCCTGAAAGCGCTCCAAATGTCCACTTCCAGATACTACAAAAAGAGTGTTTCCAACCTGCTCTATGAAACGGAAGGTTCAACTCTGTGACTTGATTGCAAACATCACGAAGGTGTTTCTGAGAATGCTTCTGTCTAGATTTTCTTTGAAGACATTACCGTTTCCAACGAAATCCTCAAAGCTAGCCAAATATCCACCTGCAGATTCTACAAAAAGAGTGTTTCAAAAGTGCTCTGTCCAAACCAAGGTTCAATTCTGACAGTTGAGTGCACACATCACAAACGTGAATTCTGCGAATGCTTCTGTCTAGTTTTTGTCGGAAGATATTTCCTTTTTCAGCATAGGCCCCAAGGAGCTCAAAATGTCCACTGCCAGATAGTACGAGAAGATTGTTTCAAACCTGCTCTGTGAAAGGGAATGTTCAACTCTGTGACTTGAATGTAAACATCCCTAAGATGTTTCTTAGAATGCTTCTGGCTAGATTTGATTTGAAGATATTCCCGTTTCCAACGAAATCCTCAAAGCTTTCCAAATATCCACTTCCAGATTCTATACAAAGAATGTTTCAGAACAGTTCTGTCAAAAGAAAGGTTCATCCCTGTTAGTGGAGAACACACATCACAATCAAGGTTCTGAGAATGCTTCTGTCTAAATTTTCTATGAAGACATTCCCGTTTCCAACGAAATCCTCACAGCTATCCAAATATCCACTTGCAGATTCTACAAAAGGTGTGGTTCAAAACTGCTGTATCAAAAGAATGGATCAACACTGTTAGTTGAGTACCCACATCACAAACGTGATTCTCAGAATGCTTCTGTCTAGTTTCTATAGGTAGATATTTCCTTTTTCAGCATAGGCCTGAAAGCGCTCCAAATGCCCGCTTCCAGACACTATAAAAAGAGGGTTTCAAACCTACTCTATGAAAGGGAATGTTCAACTCTGAGAGCTGGATGCAAACATCACAAAGAAGTTTCTGAGAATGCTGCTGTCTACTTTTTATATATAATCCCATTTCCAACGAAATCCTCAAATCTATCCAAATATCCACTTGCAGATTCCAAAAGAAGAGTGTCTCAAAACTGCTCTATCAATAGAAATGTTCAGCACAGTTAGTTGAGTAGATACAGCATAAACATGTTTCTGAGATTACTTCTATCTCGCATTCATGGGAAGATATTTCCTTTTTCCAGATAGGCTACAAAGCCCTCCAAATGTCCACTTCCAGATACTACAAATAGAGTGCTGCACAACTGCTCTATGTGAGGGGAAGTTCAATTCTGTGACTTGAATGCAGACACCACAAAGAAGTTTCTGAGAATGCTGCTGTCTAATTTTTACATGTAAGCCCGTTTCCAACGAAATCCTCAAAGCTATCCAAATATCCGCATGCAGAATCTTCAAAAAGAGTGTTCCAGAAGTACTGCATGAAACGAAAGGTTCAAGTCCGTTTGTTGAGGACACACATCACAAATAAGTTTCTCAGAATGCTTCTGTCTTGTTTTCATTGGAAGATATTTCCTTTTTCACCATAGTTCAGAAAGCGCTCCAAATGTCCACTTCCAGATACTCCAAAAAGAGTGTTTCAAACCTGCTCTATGAATGGGAATGTTCCACTCTGTGACTTGAATGGAAATATGGCAAAGTATTTTCTGAGTATGCTGCTGTGTACGTTTTATATTGCATCCCGTTTCCAACGAAATCCTCAAAGCGATCCAAATATCCACTTGCAGATTCCAAAAAAAGAGTGTTTCAAACTGCTCTGTCAGTACAAAGGTTCAACACTGTTAGTTGATTAGATGCATCATAAAAAAGTTCCTGAGATAGCTTCTATGTCGTTTTTATGGGAAGATATTTCCTTTTTCACCATAGGCCTGAAAGCGCTCCAAATGTCCACTTCCAGATACTACAATAAGAGTGTTTCCAACCTGCTCTATGAAACGGAAGGTTCAACTCTGTGACTTGATTGCAAACATCACGAAGGTGTTTCTGAGAATGTTTCTGTCTAGATTTTCTTTGAAGACATTACCGTTTCCAACGAAATCCTCAAAGCTAGCCAAATATCCACCTGCAGATTCTACAAAAAGAGTGTTTCAAAAGTGCTCTGTCCAAACCAAGGTTCAATTCTGACAGTTGAGTGCACACATCACAAACGTGATTCTGCGAATGCTTCTGTCTAGTTTTTGTCGGAAGATATTTCCTTTTTCAGCATAGGCCCCAAGGAGCTCAAAATGTCCACTTCCAGATACTACGAGAAGATTGTTTCAAACCTGCTCTGTGAAAGGGAATGTTCAACTCTGTGACTTGAATGTAAACATCCCTAAGATGTTTCTTAGAATGCTTCTGGCTAGATTTTATTTGAAGATATTCCCGTTTCCAATGAAATCCTCAAAGCTTTCAAAATATCCACTTCCAGATTCTATAAAAAGAATGTTTCAGAACAGTTCTGTCAAAAGAAAGGTTCAACTCTGTTAGTGGAGAACACACATCACAATCAAGGTTCTGAGAATGCTTCTGTCTAAATTTTCTATGAAGACATTCCCGTTTCCAACGAAATCCTCACAGCTATCCAAATATCCACTTGCAGATTCTACAAAAAGTGTGGTTCAAAACTGCTGTATCAAAAGAATGGATCAACACTGCTAGTTGAGTACCCACATCACAAACGTGATTCTCAGAATGCTTCTGTCTAGTTTCTATAGGTAGATATTTCCTTTTTCAGCATAGGCCTGAAAGCGCTCCAAATGCCCGCTTCCAGACACTATAAAAAGAGGGTTTCAAACCTACTCTATGAAAGGGAATGTTCAACTCTGAGAGCTGGATGCAAACATCACAAAGAAGTTTCTGAGAATGCTGCTGTCTACTTTTTATATATAATCCCGTTTCCAACGAAATCCTCAAATCTATCCAAATATCCACTTGCAGATTCCAAAAGAAGAGTGTCTGAAAACTGCTCTATCAATAGAAATGTTCAGCACAGTTAGTTGAGTAGATACAGCATAAACATGTTTCTGAGATTACTTCTATCTCGCATTCATGGGAAGATATTTCCTTTTTCCAGATAGGCTACAAAGCCCTCCAAATGTCCACTTCCAGATACTACAAATAGAGTGCTGCACAACTGCTCTATGTGAGGGGAAGTTCAATTCTGTGACTTGAATGCAGACACCACAAAGAAGTTTCTGAGAATGCTGCTGTCTAATTTTTACATGTAAGCCCGTTTCCAACGAAATCCTCAAAGCTATCCAAATATCCGCATGCAGAATCTTCAAAAAGAGTGTTCCAGAAGTACTGCATGAAACGAAAGGTTCAAGTCCGTTTGTTGAGGACACACATCACAAATAAGTTTCTCAGAATGCTTCTGTCTTGTTTTCATTGGAAGATATTTCCTTTTTCACCATAGTTCAGAAAGCGCTCCAAATGTCCACTTCCAGATACTCCAAAAAGAGTGTTTCAAACCTGCTCTATGAATGGGAATGTTCCACTCTGTGACTTGAATGGAAATATGGCAAAGTATTTTCTGAGTATGCTGCTGTGTACGTTTTATATTGCATCCCGTTTCCAACGAAATCCTCAAAGCGATCCAAATATCCACTTGCAGATTCCAAAAAAAGAGTGTTTCAAAGTGCTCTGTCAGTACAAAGGTTCAACACTGTTAGTTGATTAGATGCATCATAAACAAGTTCCTGAGATAGCTTCTATGTCGTTTTTATGGGAAGATATTTCCTTTTTCACCATAGGCCTGAAAGCGCTCCAAATGTCCACTTCCAGATACTACAATAAGAGTGTTTCCAACCTGCTCTATGAAACGGAAGGTTCAACTCTGTGACTTGATTGCAAACATCACGAAGGTGTTTCTGAGAATGCTTCTGTCTAGATTTTCTTTGAAGACATTCCCGTTTCCAACGAAATCCTCACAGCTATCCAAATATCCTCTTGCAGATTCTACAAAAAGTGTGGTTCAAAACTGCTGTATCAAAAGAATGGATCAACACTGTTAGTTGAGTACCCACATCACAAACGTGATTCTCAGAATGCTTCTGTCTAGTTTCTGTAGGTAGATATTTCCTATTTTAAGCATAGGCCTGAAAGCGCTCCAAATGCCCGCTTGCAGACACTATAAAAAGAGGGTTTCAAACCTACTCTATGAAAGGGAATGTTCAACTCTGAGAGCTGGATGCAAACATCACAAAGAAGTTTCTGAGAATGCTGCTGTCTACTTTTTATATATAATCCCGTTTCCAACGAAATCCTCAAATCTATCCAAATATCCACTTGCAGATTCCAAAAGAAGAGTGTCTCAAAACTGCTCTATCAATAGAAATGTTCAGCACAGTTAGTTGAGTAGATACAGCATAAACATGTTTCTGAGATTACTTCTATCTCGCATTCATGGGAAGATATTTCCTTTTTCCACATAGGCTACAAAGCCCTCCAAATGTCCACTTCCAGATACTACAAATAGAGTGCTGCACAACTGCTCTATGTGAGGGGATGTTCAATTCTGTGACTTGAATGCAGACACCACAAAGAAGTTTCTGAGAATGCTGCTGTCTAATTTTTACATGTAAGCCCGTTTCCAACGAAATCCTCAAAGCTATCCAAATATCCGCATGCAGAATCTTCAAAAAGAGTGTTCCAGAAGTACTGCATGAAACGAAAGGTTCAAGTCCGTTTGTTGAGGACACACATCACAAATAAGTTTCTCAGAATGCTTCTGTCTTGTTTTCATTGGAAGATATTTCCTTTTTCACCATAGTTCAGAAAGCGCTCCAAATGTCCACTTCCAGATACTCCAAAAAGAGTGTTTCCAACCTGCTCTATGAATGGGAATGTTCCACTCTGTGACTTGAATGGAAATATGGCAAAGTATTTTCTGAGTATGCTGCTGTGTACGTTTTATATTGCATCCCGTTTCCAACGAAATCCTCAAAGCGATCCAAATATCCACTTGCAGATTCCAAAAAAAGAGTGTTTCAAAGTGCTCTGTCAGTACAAAGGTTCAACACTGTTAGTTGATTAGATGCATCATAAACAAGTTCCTGAGATAGCTTCTATATCGTTTTTATGGGAAGATATTTCCTTTTTCACCATAGGCCTGAAAGCGCTCCAAATGTCCACTTCCAGATACTACAATAAGAGTGTTTCCAACCTGCTCTATGAAACGGAAGGTTCAACTCTGTGACTTGATTGCAAACATCACGAAGGTATTTCTGAGAATGCTTCTGTCTAGATTTTCTTTGAAGACATTCCCGTTTCCAACGAAATCCTCACAGCTATCCAAATATCCTCTTGCAGATTCTACAAAAAGTGTGGTTCAAAACTGCTGTATCAAAAGAATAGATCAACACTGTTAGTTGAGTACCCACATCACAAACGTGATTCTCAGAATGCTTCTGTCTAGTTTCTGTAGGTAGATATTTCCTATTTTAAGCATAGGCCTGAAAGCGCTCCAAATGCCCGCTTCCAGACACTATAAAAAGAGGGTTTCAAACCTACTCTATGAAAGGGAATGTTCAACTCTGAGAGCTGGATGCAAACATCACAAAGAAGTTTCTGAGAATGCTGCTGTCTACTTTTGATATATAATCCCGTTTCCAACGAAATCCTCAAATCTCTCCAAATATCCACTTGCAGATTCCAAAAGAAGAGTGTCTCAAAACTGCTCTATAAATAGAAATGTTCAGCACAGTTAGTTGAGTAGATACAGCATAAACATGTTTCTGAGATTACTTCTATCTCGCATTCATGGGAAGATATTTCCTTTTTCCACATAGGCTACAAAGCCCTCCAAATGTCCACTTCCAGATACTACAAAAAGAGTGTTTCCAACCTGCTCTATGAAACGGAAGGTTCAACTCTGTGACTTGATTGCAAACATCACGAAGGTGTTTCTGAGAATGCTTCTGTCTAGATTTTCTTTGAAGACATTACCGTTTCCAACGAAATCCTCAAAGCTAGCCAAATATCCACCTGCAGATTCTACAAAAAGAGTGTTTCAAAAGTGCTCTGTCCAAACCAAGGTTCAATTCTGACAGTTGAGTGCACACATCACAAACGTGATTCTGCGAATGCTTCTGTCTAGTTTTTGTCGGAAGATATTTCCTTTTTCAGCATAGGCCCCAAGGAGCTCAAAATGTCCACTGCCAGATAGTACGAGAAGATTGTTTCAAACCTGCTCTGTGAAAGGGAATGTTCAACTCTGTGACTTGAATGTAAACATCCCTAAGATGTTTCTTAGAATGCTTCTGGCTAGATTTGATTTGAAGATATTCCCGTTTCCAACGAAATCCTCAAAGCTTTCCAAATATCCACTTCCAGATTCTATAACAAGAATGTTTCAGAACAGTTCTGTCAAAAGAAAGGTTCAACTCTGTTAGTGGAGAACACACTTCACAATCAAGGTTCTGAGAATGCTTCTGTCTAAATTTTCTATGAAGACATTCCCGTTTCCAACGAAATCCTCACAGCTATCCAAATATCCACTTGCAGATTCTACAAAAAGTGTGGTTCAAAACTGCTGTATCAAAAGAATGGATCAACACTGTTAGTTGAGTACCCACATCACAAACGTGATTCTCAGAATGCTTCTGTCTAGTTTCTATAGGTAGATATTTCCTTTTTCAGCATAGGCCTGAAAGCGCTCCAAATGCCCGCTTCCAGACACTATAAAAAGAGGGTTGCAAACCTACTCTATGAAAGGGAATGTTCAACTCTGAGAGCTGCATGCAAACATCACAAAGAAGTTTCTGAGAATGCTGCTGTCTACTTTTTATATATAATCCCGTTTCCAACGAAATCCTCAAATCTATCCAAATATCCACTTGCAGATTCCAAAAGAAGAGTGTCTCAAAACTGCTCTATCAATAGAAATGTTCAGCACAGTTAGTTGAGTAGATACAGCATAAACATGTTTCTGAGATTACTTCTATCTCGCATTCATGGGAAGATATTTCCTTTTTCCAGATAGGCTACAAAGCCCTCCAAATGTCCACTTCCAGATACTACAAATAGAGTGCTGCACAACTGCTCTATGTGAGGGGAAGTTCAATTCTGTGACTTGAATGCAGACTCCACAAAGAAGTTTCTGAGAATGCTGCTGTCTAATTTTTACATGTAAACCCGTTTCCAACGAAATCCTCAAAGCTATCCAAATATCCGCATGCAATATCTTCAAAAAGAGTGTTCCAGAAGTACTGCATGAAACGAAAGGTTCAAGTCCGTTTGTTGAGGACACACATCACAAATAAGTTTCTCAGAATGCTTCTGTCTTGTTTTCATTGGAAGATATTTCCTTTTTCACCATAGTTCAGAAAGCGCTCCAAATGTCCACTTCCAGATACTCCAAAAAGAGTGTTTCAAACCTGCTCTATGAATGGGAATGTTCCACTCTGTGACTTGAATGGAAATATGGCAAAGTATTTTCTGAGTATGCTGCTGTGTACGTTTTATATTGCATCCCGTTTCCAACGAAATCCTCAAAGCGATCCAAATATCCACTTGCAGATTCCAAAAAAAGAGTGTTTCAAACTGCTCTGTCAGTACAAAGGTTCAACACTGTTAGTTGATTAGATGCATCATAAACAAGTTCCTGAGATAGCTTCTATGTCGTTTTTATGGGAAGATATTTCCTTTTTCACCATAGGCCTGAAAGCGCTCCAAATGTCCACTTCCAGATACTACAAAAAGAGTGTTTCCAACCTGCTCTATGAAACGGAAGGTTCAACTCTGTGACTTGATTGCAAACATCACGAAGGTGTTTCTGAGAATGTTTCTGTCTAGATTTTCTTTGAAGACATTACCGTTTCCAACGAAATCCTCAAAGCTAGTCAAATATCCACCTGCAGATTCTACAAAAAGAGTGTTTCAAAAGTGCTCTGTCCAAACCAAGGTTCAATTTCTGACAGTTGAGTGCACACATCACAAACGTGATTCTGCGAATGTTTCTGTCTAGTTTTTGTCGGAAGATATTTCCTTTTTCAGCATAGGCCCCAAGGAGCTCAAAATGTCCACTGCCAGATAGTACGAGAAGATTGTTTCAAACCTGCTCTGTGAAAGGGAATGTTCAACTCTGTGACTTGAATGTAAACATCCCTAAGATGTTTCTTAGAATGCTTCTGGCTAGATTTGATTTGAAGATATTCCCGTTTCCAACGAAATCCTCAAAGCTTTCCAAATATCCACTTCCAGATTCTATAACAAGAATGTTTCAGAACAGTTCTGTCAAAAGAAAGGTTCAACTCTGTTAGTGGGGAACACACTTCACAATCAAGGTTCTGAGAATGCTTCTGTCTAAATTTTCTATGAAGACATTCCCGTTTCCAAGGAAATCCTCACAGCTATCCAAATATCCACTTGCAGATTCTACAATAAGTGTGGTTCAAAACTGCTGTATCAAAAGAATGGATCAACACTGTTAGTTGAGTACCCACATCACAAACGTGATTCTCAGAATGCTTCTGTCTAGTTTCTATAGGTAGATATTTCCTTTTTCAGCACAGGCCTGAAAGCGCTCCAAATGCCCGCTTCCAGACACTATAAAAAGAGGGTTTCAAACCTACTCTATGAAAGGGAATGTTCAACTCTGAGAGCTGGATGCAAACATCACAAAGAAGTTTCTGAGAATGCTGCTGTCTACTTTTTATATATAATCCCGTTTCCAACGAAATCCTCAAATCTATCCAAATATCCACTTGCAGATTCCAAAAGAAGAGTGTCTCAAAACTGCTCTATCAATAGAAATGTTCAGCACAGTTAGTTGAGTAGATACAGCATAAACATGTTTCTGAGATTACTTCTATCTCGCATTCATGGGAAGATAATTCCTTTTTCCAGATAGGCTACAAAGCCCTCCAAATGTCCACTTCCAGATACTACAAATAGAGTGCTGCACAACTGCTCTATGTGAGGGGAAGTTCAATTCTGTGACTTGAATGCAGACACCACAAAGAAGTTTCTGAGAATGCTGTTGTCTAATTTTTACATGTAAGACCGTTTCCAACGAAATCCTCAAAGCTATCCAAATATCCGCATGCAGAATCTTCAAAAAGAGTGTTCCAGAAGTACTGCATGAAACGAAAGGTTCAAGTCCGTTTGTTGAGGACACACATCACAAATAAGTTTCTCAGAATGCTTCTGTCTTGTTTTCATTGGAAGATATTTCCTTTTTCACCATAGTTCAGAAAGCGCTCCAAATGTCCACTTCCAGATACTCCAAAAAGAGTGTTTCCAACCTGCTCTATGAATGGGAATGTTCCACTCTGTGACTTGAATGGAAATATGGCAAAGTATTTTCTGAGTATGCTGCTGTGTACGTTTTATATTGCATCCCGTTTCCAACGAAATCCTCAAAGTGATCCAAATATCCACTTGCAGATTCCAAAAAAAGAGTGTTTCAAACTGCTCTGTCAGTACAAAGGTTCAACACTGTTAGTTGATTAGATGCATCATAAACAAGTTCCTGAGATAGCTTCTATGTCGCTTTTATGGGAAGATATTTCCTTTTACACCATAGGCCTGAAAGCGCTCCAAATGTCCACTTCTAGACACTACAAAATGAGTGTTTCCAACCTGCTCTATGAAACGGAAGGTTCAACTACTGTGACTTGATTGCAAACATCACGAAGGTGTTTCTGAGGATGTTTCTGTCTAGATTTTCTTTGAAGACATTAGCGTTTCCATCGAAATCCTCAAAGCTAGCCAAATATCCACCTGCAGATTCTACAAAAAGAGTGTTTCAAAAGTGCTCTGTCCAAACCAAGGTTCAATTCTGACAGTTGAGTGCACACATCACAAACGTGATTCTGCGAATGCTTCTCTGTCTAGTTTTTGTCGGAAGATATTTCCTTTTTCAGCATAGGCCCCAAGGAGCTCAAAATGTCCACTGCCAGATAGTACGAGAAGATTGTTTCAAACCTGCTCTGTGAAAGGGAATGTTCAACTCTGTGACTTGAATGTAAACATCCCTAAGATGTTTCTTAGAATGCTTCTGGCTAGATTTTATTTGAAGATATTCCCGTTTCCAACGAAATCCTCAAAGCTTTCCAAATATCCACTTCCAGATTCTATAAAAAGAATGTTTCAAAACAGTTCTGTCAAAAGAAAGGTTCAACTCTGTTAGTGGAGAACACACATCACAATCCAGGTTCTGAGAATGCTTCTGTCTAAATTTTCTATGAAGAAATTCCCGTTCCCAACGAATCCTCACAGCTATCCAAATATCCACTTGCAGATTCTACAAAAAGGGTGGTTCAAAACTGCTGTATCAAAAGAATGGATCAACACTGTTAGTTGAGTACCCACATCACAAACGTGATTCTCAGAATGCTTCTGTCTAGTTTCTGTAGGTAGATATTTCCTTTTTCAGCATAGGCCTGAAAGCGCTCCAAATGCCCGCTTCCAGACACTATAAAAAGGGGGTTTCAAACCTACTCTATGAAACGGAATGTTCAACTCTGAGAGCTGGATGCAAACATCACAAAGAAGTTTCTGAGAATGCTGCTGTCTGCTTTTTATATATAATCCCGTTTCCAACGAAATCCTCAAATCTAGCCAAATATCCACTTGCAGATTCGAAAAGAAGAGTGTCTCAAAACTGCTCTATTAATAGAAATGTTCAGCACACTTAGTTGGGTAGATACAGCATAAACATGTTTCTGAGATTACTTCTATCTCGCATTCATGGGAAGATATTTCCTTTTTCCAGATAGGCTACAAAGCCCTCCAAATGTCCACTTCGAGATACTACAAATAGAGTGCTGCACAACTGCTCTATGTGAGGGGATGTTCAGTTCTGTGACTTGAATGCAGACACCACAAAGAAGTTTCTGAGAATGCTGCTGTCTAATTTTTATACGTAAGCCCGTTTCCAACGAAATCCTCAAAGCTATCCAAATATCCGCATGCAGAATCTTCAAAAAGAGTGTTCCAGAAGTACTGCATGAAACGAAAGGTTCGAGTCCGTTAGTTGAGGACACGCATCACAAATAAGTTTCTCAGAATGCTTCTGTCTTGTTTTCATTGGAACATATTTCCTTTTTCACCATAGTTCAGAAAGCGCTCCAAATGTCCACTTCCAGATACTCCAAAAAGAGTGTTTCAAACCTGCTCTATGAATGGGAATGTTCCACTCTGTGACTTGAATGGAAATATGGCAAAGTATTTTCTGAGTATGCTGCTGTGTACGTTTTATATTGCATCCCGTTTCCAACGAAATCCTCAAAGCGATCCAAATATCCACTTGCAGATTCCAAAAAAAGAGTGTTTCAAACTGCTCTGTCAGTACAAAGGTTCAACACTGTTAGTTGATTAGATGCATCATAAACAAGTTCCTGAGATAGCTTCTATGTCGTTTTTATGGGAAGATATTTCCTTTTTCACCATAGGCCTGAAAGCGCTCCAAATGTCCACTTCCAGATACTACAATAAGAGTGTTTCCAACCTACTCTATGAAACGGAAGGTTCAACTCTGTGACTTGATTGCAAACATCACGAAGGTGTTTCTGAGAATGCTTCTGTCTAGATTTTCTTTGAAGACATTCCCGTTTCCAACGAAATCCTCACAGCTATCCAAATATCCTCTTGCAGATTCTACAAAAAGTGTGGTTCAAAACTGCTGTATCAAAAGAATGGATCAACACTGTTAGTTGAGTACCCACATCACAAACGTGATTCTCAGAATGCTTCTGTCTAGTTTCTGTAGGTAGATATTTCCTATTTTAAGCATAGGCCTGAAAGCGCTCCAAATGCCCGCTTCCAGACACTATAAAAAGAGGGTTTCAAACCTACTCTATGAAAGGGAATGTTCAACTCTGAGAGCTGGATGCAAACATCACAAAGAAGTTTCTGAGAATGCTGCTGTCTACTTTTTATATATAATCCCGTTTCCAACGAAATCCTCAAATCTATCCAAATATCCACTTGCAGATTCCAAAAGAAGAGTGTCTCAAAACTGCTCTATCAATAGAAATGTTCAGCACAGTTAGTTGAGTAGATACAGCATAAACATGTTTCTGAGATTACTTCTATCTCGCATTCATGGGAAGATATTTCCTTTTTCCAGATAGGCTACAAAGCCCTCCAAATGTCCACTTCCAGATACTACAAATAGAGTGCTGCACAACTGCTCTATGTGAGGGGAAGTTCAATTCTGTGACTTGAATGCAGACACCACAAAGAAGTTTCTGAGAATGCTGCTGTCTAATTTTTACATGTAAGCCCGTTTCCAACGAAATCCTCAAAGCAATCCAAATATCCGCATGCAGAATCTTCAAAAAGAGTGTTCCAGAAGTACTGCATGAAACGAAAGGTTCAAGTCCGTTTGTTGAGGACACACATCACAAATAAGTTTCTCAGAATGCTTCTGTCTTGTTTTCATTGGAAGATATTTCCTTTTTCACCATAGTTCAGAAAGCGCTCCAAATGTCCACTTCCAGATACTCCAAAAAGAGTGTTTCAAACCTGCTCTATGAATGGGAATGTTCCACTCTGTGACTTGAATGGAAATATGGCAAAGTATTTTCTGAGTATGCTGCTGTGTACGTTTTATATTGCATCCCGTTTCCAACGAAATCCTCAAAGCGATCCAAATATCCACTTGCAGATTCCAAAAAAAGAGTGTTTCAAACTGCTCTGTCAGTACAAAGGTTCAACACTGTTAGTTGATTAGATGCATCATAAACAAGTTCCTGAGATAGCTTCTATGTCGTTTTTATGGGAAGATATTTCCTTTTTCACCATAGGCCTGAAAGCGCTCCAAATGTCCACTTCCAGATACTACAATAAGAGTGTTTCCAACCTGCTCTATGAAACGGAAGGTTCAACTCTGTGACTTGATTGCAAACATCACGAAGGTGTTTCTGAGAATGCTTCTGTCTAGATTTTCTTTGAAGACATTCCCGTTTCCAACGAAATCCTCACAGCTATCCAAATATCCTCTTGCAGATTCTACAAAAAGTGTGGTTCAAAACTGCTGTATCAAAAGAATGGATCAACACTGTTAGTTGAGTACCCACATCACAAACGTGATTCTCAGAATGCTTCTGACTAGTTTCTGTAGGTAGATATTTCCTTTTTCAGCATAGGCGTGAAAGCGCTCCAAATGCCCGCTTCCAGACACTATAAAAAGAGGGTTTCAAACCTACTCTATGAAAGGGAATGTTCAACTCTGAGAGCTGGATGCAAACATCACAAAGAAGTTTCTGAGAATGCTGCTGTCTACTTTTGATATATAATCCCGTTTCCAACGAAATCCTCAAATCTATCCAAATATCCACTTGCAGATTCCAAAAGAAGAGTGTCTCAAAACTGCTCTATCAATAGAAATGTTCAGCACAGTTAGTTGAGTAGATACAGCATAAACATGTTTCTGAGATTACTTCTATCTCGCATTCATGGGAAGATATTTCCTTTTTCCACATAGGCTACAAAGCCCTCCAAATGTCCACTTCCAGATACTACAAAAAGAGTGTTTCCAACCTGCTCTATGAAACGGAAGGTTCAACTCTGTGACTTGATTGCAAACATCACGAAGGTGTTTCTGAGAATGCTTCTGTCTAGATTTTCTTTGAAGACATTACCGTTTCCAACGAAATCCTCAAAGCTAGCCAAATATCCACCTGCAGATTCTACAAAAAGAGTGTTTCAAAAGTGCTCTGTCCAAACCAAGGTTCAATTCTGACAGTTGAGTGCACACATCACAAACGTGATTCTGCGAATGCTTCTGTCTAGTTTTTGTCGGAAGATATTTCCTTTTTCAGCATAGGCCCCAAGGAGCTCAAAATGTCCACTGCCAGATAGTACGAGAAGATTGTTTCAAACCTGCTCTGTGAAAGGGAATGTTCAACTCTGTGACTTGAATGTAAACATCCCTAAGATGTTTCTTAGAATGCTTCTGGCTAGATTTGATTTGAAGATATTCCCGTTTCCAACGAAATCCTCAAAGCTTTCCAAATATCCACTTCCAGATTCTATATAAAGAATGTTTCAGAACAGTTCTGTCAAAAGAAAGGTTCAACTCTGTTAGTGGAGAACACACATCACAATCAAGGTTCTGAGAATGCTTCTGTCTAAATTTTCTATGAAGACATTCCCGTTTCCAACGAAATCCTCACAGCTATCCAAATATCCACTTGCAGATTCTACAAAAAGTGTGGTTCAAAACTGCTGTATCAAAAGAATGGATCAACACTGTTAGTTGAGTACCCACATCACAAACGTGATTCTCAGAATGCTTCTGTCTAGTTTCTATAGGTAGATATTTCCTTTTTCAGCATAGGCCTGAAAGCGCTCCAAATGCCCGCTTCCAGACACTATAAAAAGAGGGTTTCAAACCTACTCTATGAAAGGGAATGTTCAACTCTGAGAGCTGGATGCAAACATCACAAAGAAGTTTCTGAGAATGCTGCTGTCTACTTTTTATATATAATCCCGTTTCCAACGAAATCCTCAAATCTATCCAAATATCCACTTGCAGATTCCAAAAGAAGAGTGTCTCAAAACTGCTCTATCAATAGAAATGTTCAGCACAGTTAGTTGAGTAGATACAGCATAAACATGTTTCTGAGATTACTTCTATCTCGCATTCATGGGAAGATATTTCCTTTTTCCACATAGGCTACAAAGCCCTCCAAATGTCCACTTCCAGATACTACAAATAGAGTGCTGCACAACTGCTCTATGTGAGGGGATGTTCAATTCTGTGACTTGAATGCAGACACCACAAAGAAGTTTCTGAGAATGCTGCTGTCTAATTTTTACATGTAAGCCCGTTTCCAACGAAATCCTCAAAGCTATCCAAATATCCGCATGCAGAATCTTCAAAAAGAGTGTTCCAGAAGTACTGCATGAAACGAAAGGTTCAAGTCCGTTTGTTGAGGACACACATCACAAATAAGTTTCTCAGAATGCTTCTGTCTTGTTTTCTTGGAAGATATTTCCTTTTTCACCATAGTTCAGAAAGCGCTCCAAATGTCCACTTCCAGATACTCCAAAAAGAGTGTTTCCAACCTGCTCTATGAATGGGAATGTTCCACTCTGTGACTTGAATGGAAATATGGCAAAGTATTTTCTGAGTATGCTGCTGTGTACGTTTTATATTGCATCCCGTTTCCAACGAAATCCTCAAAGCGATCCAAATATCCACTTGCAGATTCCAAAAAAAGAGTGTTTCAAACTGCTCTGTCAGTACAAAGGTTCAACGCTGTTAGTTGATTAGATGCATCATAAACAAGTTCCTGAGATAGCTTCTATGTCGTTTTTATGGGAAGATATTTCCTTTTTCACCATAGGCCTGAAAGCGCTCCAAATGTCCACTTCCAGATACTACAAAAAGAGTGTTTCCAACCTGCTCTATGAAACGGAAGGTTCAACTCTGTGACTTGATTGCAAACATCACGAAGGTGTTTCTGAGAATGCTTCTGTCTAGATTTTCTTTGAAGACATTACCGTTTCCAACGAAATCCTCAAAGCTAGCCAAATATCCACCTGCAGATTCTACAAAAAGAGTGTTTCAAAAGTGCTCTGTCCAAACCAAGGTTCAATTCTGACAGTTGAGTGCACACATCACAAACGTGATTCTGCGAATGCTTCTGTCTAGTTTTTGTCGGAAGATATTTCCTTTTTCAGCATAGGCCCCAAGGAGCTCAAAATGTCCACTGCCATATAGTACGAGAAGATTGTTTCAAACCTGCTCTGTGAAAGGGAATGTTCAACTCTGTGACTTGAATGTAAACATCCCTAAGATGTTTCTTAGAATGCTTCTGGCTAGATTTTATTTGAAGATATTCCCGTTTCCAACGAAATCCTCAAAGCTTTCCAAATATCCACTTCCAGATTCTATAAAAAGAATGTTTCAGAACAGTTCTGTCAAAAGAAAGGTTCAACTCTGTTAGTGGAGAACACACATCACAATCAAGGTTCTGAGAATGCTTCTGTCTAAATTTTCTATGAAGACATTCCCGTTTCCAACGAAATCCTCACAGCTATCCAAATATCCACTTGCAGATTCTACAAAAAGTGTGGTTCAAAACTGCTGTATCAAAAGAATGGATCAACACTGTTAGTTGAGTACCCACATCACAAACGTGATTCTCAGAATGCTCTGTCTAGTTTCTATAGGTAGATATTTCCTTTTTCAGCATAGGCCTGAAAGCGCTCCAAATGCCCGCTTCCAGACACTATAAAAAGAGGGTTTCAAACCTACTCTATGAAAGGGAATGTTCAACTCTGAGAGCTGGATGCAAACATCACAAAGAAGTTTCTGAGAATGCTGGCTGTCTACTTTTTATATATAATCCCGTTTCCAACGAAATCCTCAAATCTATCCAAATATCCACTTGCAGATTCCAAAAGAAGAGGGTCTCAAAACTGCTCTATCAATAGAAATGTTCAGCACAGTTAGTTGAGTAGATACAGCATAAACATGTTTCTGAGATTACTTCTATCTCGCATTCATGGGAAGATATTTCCTTTTTCCAGATAGGCTACAAAGCCCTCCAAATGTCCACTTCCAGATACTACAAATAGAGTGCTGCACAACTGCTCTATGTGAGGGGAAGTTCAATTCTGTGACTTGAATGCAGACACCACAAAGAAGTTTCTGAGAATGCTGCTGTCTAATTTTTACATGTAAGCCCGTTTCCAACGAAATCCTCAAAGCTATCCAAATATCCGCATGCAGAATCTTCAAAAAGAGTGTTCCAGAAGTACTGCATGAAACGAAAGGTTCAAGTCCGTTTGTTGAGGACACACATCACAAATAAGTTTCTCAGAATGCTTCTGTCTTGTTTTCATTGGAAGATATTTCCTTTTTCACCATAGTTCAGAAAGCGCTCCAAATGTCCACTTCCAGATACTCCAAAAAGAGTGTTTCCAACCTGCTCTATGAATGGGAATGTTCCACTACTGTGACTTGAATGGAAATATGGCAAAGTATTTTCTGAGTATGCTCTGTGTACGTTTTATATTGCATCCCGTTTCCAACGAAATCCTCAAAGCGATCCAAATATCCACTTGCAGATTCCAAAAAAAAGAGTGTTTCACACTGCTCTGTCAGTACAAAGGTTCAACACTGTTAGTTGATTGGATGCATCATAAACAAGTTCCTGAGATAGCTTCTATGTCGTTTTTATGGGAAGATATTTCCTTCTTCACCATAGGCCTGAAAGCGCTCCAAATGTCCACTTCCAGATACTACAAAAAGAGTGTTTCCAACCTGCTCTACGAAACGGAAGCTTCAACTCTGTGACTTGATTGCAAACATCACGAAGGTGTTTCTGAGAATGTTTCTGTCTAGATTTTCTTTGAAGACATTCCCGTTTCCAACGAAATCCTCACAGCTATCCAAATATCCTCTTACAGATTCTACAAAAAGTGTGGTTCAAAACTGCTGTATCAAAAGAATGGATCAACACTGTTAGTTGAGTACCCACATCACAAACGTGATTCTCAGAATGCTTCTGTCTAGTTTCTGTAGGTAGATATTTCCTATTTTAAGCATAGGCCTGAAAGCGCTCCAAATGCCCGCTTCCAGACACTATAAAAAGAGGGTTTCAAACCTACTCTATGAAAGGGAATGCTCAACTCTGAGAGCTGGATGCAAACATCACAAAGAAGTTTCTGAGAATGCTGCTGTCTACTTTTTATACATAATCCCGTTTCCAACGAAATCCTCAAATCTATCCAAATATCCACTTGCAGATTCCAAAAGAAGAGTGTCTCAAAACTGCTCTATCAATAGAAATGTTCAGCACAGTTAGTTGAGTAGATACAGCATAAACATGTTTCTGAGATTACTTCTATCTCGCATTCATGGGAAGATATTTCCTTTTTCAGATAGGCTACAAAGCCCTCCAAATGTCCACTTCCAGATACTACAAAAAGAGTGTTTCCAACCTGCTCTATGAAACGGAAGGTTCAACTCTGTGTCTTGATTGCAAACATCACGAAGGTGTTTCTGAGAATGCTTCTGTCTAGATTTTCTTTGAAGACATTACCGTTTCCAAAGAAATCCTCAAAGCTAGCCAAATATCCACCTGCAGATTCTACAAAAAGAGTGTTTCAAAAGTGCTCTGTCCAAACCAAGGTTCAATTCTGACAGTTGAGTGCATACATCACAAACGTGATTCTGCGAATGCTTCTGTCTAGTTTTTGTCGGAAGATATTTCCTTTTTCAGCATAGGCCCCAAGGAGCTCAAAATGTCCACTGCCAGATAGTACGAGAAGATTGTTTCAAACCTGCTCTGTGAAAGGGAATGTTCAACTCTGTGACTTGAATGTAAACATCCCTAAGATGTTTCTTAGAATGCTTCTGGCTAGATTTTATTTGAAGATATTCCCGTTTCCAACGAAATCCTCAAAGCTTTCCAAATATCCACTTCCAGATTCTATAAAAAGAATGTTTCAAAACAGTTCTGTCCAAAGAAAGGTTCAACTCTGTTAGTGGAGAACACACATCACAATCCAGGTTCTGAGAATGCTTCTGTCTAAATTTTCTATGAAGACATTCCCGTTTCCAACGAAATCCTCACAGCTATCCAAATATCCACTTGCAGATTCTACAAAAAGGGTGGTTCAAAACTGCTGTATCAAAAGAATGGATCAACACTGTTAGTTGAGTACCCACATCACAAACGTGATTCTCAGAATGCTTCTGTCTAGTTTCTGTAGGTAGATATTTCCTTTTTCAGCATAGGCCTGAAAGCGCTCCAAATGCCCGCTTCCAGAAACTATAAAAAGAGGGTTTCAAACCTACTCTATGAAAGGGAATGTTCAACTCTGAGAGCTGGATGCAAACATCACAAAGAAGTTTCTGAGAATGCTGCTGTCTACTTTTGATATATAATCCCGTTTCCAACGAAATCCTCAAATCTATCCAAATATCCACTTGCAGATTCCAAAAGAAGAGTGTCTCAAAACTGCTCTATCAATAGAAATGTTCAGCACAGTTAGTTGAGTAGATACAGCATAAACATGTTTCTGAGATTACTTCTATCTCGCATTCATGGGAAGATATTTCCTTTTTCCAGATAGGCTACAAAGCCCTCCAAATGTACATTTCGAGATACTACAAATAGAGTGCTGCACAGCTGCTCTATGTGAGGGGATGTTCAATTCTGTGACTTGAACGCAGACACCACAAAGAAGTTTCTGAGAATGCTGCTGTCTAATTTTTACATGTAAGCCCGTTTCCAACGAAATCCTCAAAGCTATCCAAATATCCGCATGCAGAATCTTCAAAAAGAGTGTTCCAGAAGTACTGCATGAAACGAAAGGTTCAAGTCCGTTTGTTGAGGACACACATCACAAATAAGTTTCTCAGAATGCTTCTGTCTTGTTTTCATTGGAAGATATTTCCTTTTTCACCATAGTTCAGAAAGCGCTCCAAATGTCCACTTCCAGATATTCCAAAAAGAGTGTTTCCAACCTGCTCTATGAATGGGAATGTTCCACTCTGTGACTTGAATGGAAATATGGCAAAGTATTTTGCTGAGTATGCTGCTGTGTACGATTTATATTGCATCCCGTTTCCAACGAAATCCTCAAAGCGATCCAAATATCCACTTGCAGATTCCAAAAAAAAGAGTGTTTCACACTGCTCTGTCAGTACAAAAGTTCAACACTGTTAGTTGATTGGATGCATCATAAACAAGTTCCTGAGATAGCTTCTATCTCGCATTCATGGGAAGATATTTCCTTTTTCCAGATAGGCTACAAAGCCCTCCAAATGTCCACTTCCAGATACTACAAAAAGAGTGTTTCCAACCTGCTCTATGAAACGGAAGGTTCAACTCTGTGACTTGATTGCAAACATCACGAAGGTGTTTCTGAGAATGCTTCTGTCTAGATTTTCTTTGAAGACATTACCGTTTCCAACGAAATCCTCAAAGCTAGCCAAATATCCACCTGCAGATTCTACAAAAAGAGTGTTTCAAAAGTGCTCTGTCCAAACCAAGGTTCAATTCTGACAGTTGAGTGCACACATCACAAACGTGATTCTGCGAATGCTTCTGTCTAGTTTTTGTCGGAAGATATTTCCTTTTTCAGCATAGGCCCCAAGGAGCTCAAAATGTCCACTGCCAGATAGTACGAGAAGATTGTTTCAAACCTGCTCTGTGAAAGGGAATGTTCAACTCTGTGACTTGAATGTAAACATCCCTAAGATGTTTCTTAGAATGCTTCTGGCTAGATTTGATTTGAAGATATTCCCGTTTCCAACGAAATCCTCAAAGCTTTCCAAATATCCACTTCCAGATTCTATAAAAAGAATGTTTCAGAACAGTTCTGTCAAAAGAAAGGTTCAACTCTGTTAGTGGAGAACACACATCACAATCAAGGTTCTGAGAATGTTTCTGTCTAAATTTTCTATGAAGACATTCCCGTTTCCAACGAAATCCTCACAGCTATCCAAATATCCACTTGCAGATTCTACAAAAAGTGTGGTTCAAAACTGCTGTATCAAAAGAATGGATCAACACTGTTAGTTGAGTACCCACATCACAAACGTGATTCTCAGAATGCTTCTGTCTAGTTTCTATAGGTAGATATCTCCTTTTTCAGCATAGGCCTGAAAGCGCTCCAAATGCCCGCTTCCAGACACTATAAAAAGAGGGTTTCAAACCTACTCTATGAAAGGGAATGTTCAACTCTGAGAGCTGGATGCAAACATCACAAAGAAGTTTCTGAGAATGCTGCTGTCTACTTTTTATATATAATCCCGTTTCCAACGAAATCCTCAAATCTATCCAAATATCCACTTGCAGATTCCAAAAGAAGAGGGTCTCAAAACTGCTCTATCAATAGAAATGTTCAGCACAGTTAGTTGAGTAGATACAGCATAAACATGTTTCTCAGATTACTTCTATCTCGCATTCATGGGAAGATAATTCCTTTTTCCAGATAGGCTACAAAGCCCTCCAAATGTCCACTTCCAGATACTACAAATAGAGTGCTGCACAACTGCTCTATGTGAGGGGAAGTTCAATTCTGTGACTTGAATGCAGACACCACAAAGAAGTTTCTGAGAATGCTGTTGTCTAATTTTTACATGTAAGACCGTTTCCAACGAAATCCTCAAAGCTATCCAAATATCCGCATGCAGAATCTTCAAAAAGAGTGTTCCAGAAGTACTGCATGAAACGAAAGTTTCAAGTCCGTTTGTTGAGGACACACATCACAAATAAGTTTCTCAGAATGCTTCTGTCTTGTTTTCATTGGAAGATATTTCCTTTTTCACCATAGTTCAGAAAGCGCTCCAAATGTCCACTTCCAGATACTCCAAAAAGAGTGTTTCCAACCTGCTCTATGAATGGGAATGTTCCACTCTGTGACTTGAATGGAAATATGGCAAAGTATTTTCTGAGTATGCTGCTGTGTACGATTTATATTGCATCCCGTTTCCAACGAAATCCTCAAAGCGATCCAAATATCCACTTGCAGATTCCAAAAAAAAGAGTGTTTCACACTGCTCTGTCAGTACAAAAGTTCAACACTGTTAGTTGATTGGATGCATCATAAACAAGTTCCTGAGATAGCTTCTATGTCGTTTTTATGGGAAGATATTTCCTTTTTCACCATAGGCCTGAAAGCGCTCCAAATGTCCACTTCCAGATACTACAAAAAGAGTGTTTCCAACCTGCCCTATGAAACGGAAGGTTCAACTCTGTGACTTGATTGCAAACATCACGAAGGTGTTTCTGAGAATGTTTCTGTCTAGATTTTCTTTGAAGACATTACCGTTTCCAACGAAATCCTCAAAGCTAGCCAAATATCCACCTGCAGATTCTACAAAAAGTGTTTCAAAAGTGCTCTGTCCAAACCAAGGTTCAATTCTGACAGTTGAGTGCACACATCACAAACGTGATTCTGCGAATGCTTCTGTCTAGTTTTTGTCGGAAGATATTTCCTTTTTCAGCATAGGCCCCAAGGAGCTCAAAATGTCCACTTCCAGATAGTACCAGAAGATTGTTTCAAACCTGCTCTGTGAAAGGGAATGTTCAACTCTGTGACTTGAATGTAAACATCCCTAAGATGTTTCTTAGAATGCTTCTGGCTAGATTTGATTTGAAGATATTCCCGTTTCCAACGAAATCCTCAAAGCTTTCCAAATATCCACTTCCAGATTCTATAAAAAGAATGTTTCAGAACAGTTCTGTCAAAAGAAAGGTTCAACTCTGTTAGTGGAGAACACACATCACAATCAAGGTTCTGAGAATGCTTCTGTCTAAATTTTCTATGAAGACATTCCCGTTTCCAACGAAATCCTCACAGCTATCCAAATATCCACTTGCAGATTCTACAAAAAGTGTGGTTCAAAACTGCTGTATCAAAAGAATGGATCAACACTGTTAGTTGAGTACCCACATCACAAACGTGATTCTCAGAATGCTTCTGTCTAGTTTCCATAGGTAGATATTTCCTTTTTCAGCATAGGCCTGAAAGCGCTCCAAATGCCCGCTTCCAGACACTATAAAAAGAGGGTTTCAAACCTACTCTATGAAAGGGAATGTTCAACTCTGAGAGCTGGATGCAAACATCACAAAGAAGTTTCTGAGAATGCTGCTGTCTGCATTTTATATGTAATCACGTTTCCAACGAAATCCTCAAATCTATCCAAATATCCACTTGCAGATTCCAAAAGAAGAGTGTCTCAAAACTGCTCTATCAATAGAAATGTTCAGCACAGTTAGTTTAGTAGATACAGCATAAACATGTTTCTGAGATTACTTCTATCTCGCATTCATGGGAAGATATTTCCTTTTTCCAGATAGGCTACAAAGCCCTCCAAATGTCCACTTCGAGATACTAAAAATAGAGTGCTACACAACTGCTCTATGTGAGGGGATGTTCAATTCTGTGACTTGAATGCAGACACCACAAAGAAGTTTCTGAGAATGCTGCTGTCTAATTTTTATATGTAAGCCCGTTTCCAACGAAATCCTCACAGCTATCCAAATATCCGCATGCAGAATCTTCAAAAAGAGTGTTCCAGAAGTACTGCATGAAACGAAAGCTTCGAGTCCGTTAGTTGAGGACACGCATCACAAATAAGTTTCTCAGAATGCTTCTGTCTTGTTTTCATTGGAAGATATTTCCTTTTTCACCATAGTTCAGAAAGCGCTCCAAATGTCCACTTCCAGATACTCCAAAAAGAGTGTTTCCAACCTGCTCTATGAATGGGAATGTTCCACTCTGTGACTTGAATGGAAATATGGCAAAGTATTTTCTGAGTATGCTGCTGTGTACGTTTTATATTGCATCCCGTTTCCAACGAAATCCTCAAAGCGATCCAAATATCCACTTGCAGATTCCAAAAAAAGAGTGTTTCAAAGTGCTCTGTCAGTACAAAGGTTCAACACTGTTAGTTGATTAGATGCATCATAAACAATTTCCTGAGATAGCTTCTATGTCGTTTTTATGGGAAGATATTTCCTTTTTCACCATAGGCCTGAAAGCGCTCCAAATGTCCACTTCCAGATACTACAATAAGAGTGTTTCCAACCTGCTCTATGAAACGGAAGGTTCAACTCTGTGACTTGATTGCAAACATCACGAAGGTGTTTCTGAGAATGCTTCTGTCTAGATTTTCTTTGAAGACATTACCGTTTCCAACGAAATCCTCAAAGCTAGCCAAATATCCACCTGCAGATTCTACAAAAAGAGTGTTTCAAAAGTGCTCTGTCCAAACCAAGGTTCAATTCTGACAGTTGAGTGCACACATCTCAAACGTGATTCTGCGAATGCTTCTGTCTAGTTTTTGTCGGAAGATATTTCCTTTTTCAGCATAGGCCCCAAGGAGCTCAAAATGTCCACTGCCAGATAGTACGAGAAGATTGTTTCAAACCTGCTCTGTGAAAGGGAATGTTCAACTCTGTGACTTGAATGTAAACATCCCTAAGATGTTTCTTAGAATGCTTCTGGCTAGATTTGATTTGAAGATATTCCCGTTTCCAACGAAATCCTCAAAGCTTTCCAAATATCCACTTCCAGATTCTATAAAAAGAATGTTTCAGAACAGTTCTGTCAAAAGAAAGGTTCAACCCTGTTAGTGGAGAACACACATCACAATCAAGGTTCTGAGAATGCTTCTGTCTAAATTTTCTATGAAGACATTCCCGTTTCCAACGAAATCCTCACAGCTATCCAAATATCCACTTGCAGATTCTACAAAAAGTGTGGTTCAAAACTGCTGTATCAAAAGAATGGATCAACACTGTTAGTTGAGTACCCACATCACAAACGTGATTCTCAGAATGCTTCTGTCTAGTTTCTATAGGTAGATATTTCCTTTTTCAGCATAGGCCTGAAAGCGCTCCAAATGCCCGCTTCCAGACACTATAAAAAGAGGGTTTCAAACCTACTCTATGAAAGGGAATGTTCAACTCTGAGAGCTGGATGCAAACATCACAAAGAAGTTTCTGAGAATGCTGCTGTCTACTTTTGATATATAATCCCGTTTCCAACGAAATCCTCAAATCTATCCAAATATCCACTTGCAGATTCCAAAAGAAGAGTGTCTCAAAACTGCTCTATCAATAGAAATGTTCAGCACAGTTAGTTGAGTAGATACAGCATAAACATGTTTCTGAGATTACTTCTATCTCGCATTCATGGGAAGATATTTCCTTTTTCCAGATAGGCTACAAAGCCCTCCAAATGTCCACTTCGAGATACTACAAATAGAGTGCTGCACAACTGCTCTATGTGAGGGGAAGTTCAATTCTGTGACTTGAATGCAGACACCACAAAGAAGTTTCTGAGAATGCTGCTGTCTAATTTTTACATGTAAGCCCGTTTCCAACGAAATCCTCAAAGCTATCCAAATATCCGCATGCAGAATCTTCAAAAAGAGTGTTCCAGAAGTACTGCATGAAACGAAAGGTTCAAGTCCGTTTGTTGAGGACACACATCACAAATAAGTTTCTCAGAATGCTTCTGTCTTGTTTTCATTGGAAGATATTTCCTTTTTCACCATAGTTCAGAAAGCGCTCCAAATGTCCACTTCCAGATACTACAAAAAGAGTGTGTCAAACCTGCTCTATGAATGGGAATGTTACACTCTGTGACTTGAATGGAAATATGGCAAAGTATTTTCTGAGTATGCTGCTGTGTACGTTTTATATTGCATCCCGTTTCCAACGAAATCCTCAAAGCGATCCAAATATCCACTTGCAGATTCCAAAAAAAAGAGTGTTTCACACTGCTCTGTCAGTACAAACGTTCAACACTGTTAGTTGATTGGATGCATCATAAACAAGTTCCTGAGATAGCTTCTATGTCGTTTTTATGGGAAGATATTTCCTTTTTCAGCATAGGCCTGAAAGCGCTCCAAATGTCCACTTCCAGATACTACAAAAAGAGTGTTTCCAACCTGCTCTATGAAACGGAAGGTTCAACTCTGTGACTTGATTGCAAACATCACGAAGGTGTTTCTGAGAATGTTTCTGTCTAGATTTTCTTTGAAGACATTACCGTTTCCAACGAAATCCTCAAAGCTAGTCAAATATAAACCTGCAGATTCTACAAAAAGAGTGTTTCAAAAGTGCTCTGTCCAAACAAAGTTTCAATTCCGACAGTTGAGTGCACACATCACAAACGTGATTCTGCGAATGCTTCTGTCTAGTTTTTGTCGGAAGATATTTCCTTTTTCAGCATAGGCCCCAAGGAGCTCAAAATGTCCACTGCCAGATAGTACGAGAAGATTGTTTCAAACCTGCTCTGTGAAAGGGAATGTTCAACTCTGTGACTTGAATGTAAACATCCCTAAGATGTTTCTTAGAATGCTTCTGGCTAGATTTTATTTGAAGATATTCCCGTTTCCAACGAAATCCTCAAAGCTTTCCAAATATCCACTTCCAGATTCTATAAAAAGAATGTTTCAGAACAGTTCTGTCAAAAGAAAGGTTCAACTCTGTTAGTGGAGAACACACATCACAATCAAGGTTCTGAGAATGCTTCTGTCTAAATTTTCTATGAAGACATTCCCGTTTCCAACGAAATCCTCACAGCTATCCAAATATCCACTTGCAGATTCTACAAAAAGTGTGGTTCAAAACTGCTGTATCAAAAGAATGGATCAACACTGTTAGTTGAGTACCCACATCACAAACGTGATTCTCAGAATGCTTCTGTCTAGTTTCTATAGGTAGATATTTCCTTTTTCAGCATAGGCCTGAAAGCGCTCCAAATGCCCGCTTCCAGACACTATAAAAAGAGGGTTTCAAACCTACTCTATGAAAGGGAATGTTCAACTCTGAGAGCTGGATGCAAACATCACAAAGAAGTTTCTGAGAATGCTGCTGTCTACTTTTTATATATAATCCCGTTTCCAACGAAATCCTCAAATCTATCCAAATATCCACTTGCAGATTCCAAAAGAAGAGTGTCTCAAAACTGCTCTATCAATAGAAATGTTCAGCACAGTTAGTTGAGTAGATACAGCATAAACATGTTTCTGAGATTACTTCTATCTCGCATTCATGGGAAGATATTTCCTTTTTCCAGATAGGCTACAAAGCCCTCCAAATGTCCACTTCCAGATACTACAAATAGAGTGCTGCACAACTGCTCTATGTGAGGGGAAGTTCAATTCTGTGACTTGAATGCAGACACCACAAAGAAGTTTCTGAGAATGCTGCTGTCTAATTTTTACATGTAAGCCCGTTTCCAACGAAATCCTCAAAGCTATCCAAATATCCGCATGCAGAATCTTCAAAAAGAGTGTTCCAGAAGTACTGCATGAAACGAAAGGTTCAAGTCCGTTTGTTGAGGACACACATCACAAATAAGTTTCTCAGAATGCTTCTGTCTTGTTTTCATTGGAAGATATTTCCTTTTTCACCATAGTTCAGAAAGCGCTCCAAATGTCCACTTCCAGATACTCCAAAAAGAGTGTTTCAAACCTGCTCTATGAATGGGAATGTTCCACTCTGTGACTTGAATGGAAATATGGCAAAGTATTTTCTGAGTATGCTGCTGTGTACGTTTTATATTGCATCCAGTTTCCAACGAAATCCTCAAAGCGATCCAAATATCCACTTGCAGATTCCAAAAAAAGAGTGTTTCAAACTGCTCTGTCAGTACAAAGGTTCAACACTGTTAGTTGATTAGATGCATCATAAACAAGTTCCTGAGATAGCTTCTATCTCGCATTCATGGGAAGATATTTCCTTTTTCCAGATAGGCTACAAAGCCCTCCAAATGTCCACTTCCAGATACTACAAAAAGAGTGTTTCCAACCTGCTCTATGAAACGGAAGGTTCAACTCTGTGACTTGATTGCAAACATCACGAAGGTGTTTCTGAGAATGCTTCTGTCTAGATTTTCTTTGAAGACATTACCGTTTCCAACGAAATCCTCAAAGCTAGCCAAATATCCACCTGCAGATTCTACAAAAAGAGTGTTTCAAAAGTGCTCTGTCCAAACCAAGGTTCAATTCTGACAGTTGAGTGCACACATCACAAACGTGATTCTGCGAATGCTTCTGTCTAGTTTTTGTCGGAAGATATTTCCTTTTTCAGCATAGGCCCCAAGGAGCTCAAAATGTCCACTGCCAGATAGTACGAGAAGATTGTTTCAAACCTGCTCTGTGAAAGGGAATGTTCAACTCTGTGACTTGAATGTAAACATCCCTAAGATGTTTCTTAGAATGCTTCTGGCTAGATTTGATTTGAAGATATTCCCGTTTCCAACGAAATCCTCAAAGCTTTCCAAATATCCACTTCCAGATTCTATAAAAAGAATGTTTCAGAACAGTTCTGTCAAAAGAAAGGTTCAACTCTGTTAGTGGAGAACACACATCACAATCAAGGTTCTGAGAATGCTTCCGTCTAAATTTTCTATGAAGACATTCCCGTTTCCAACGAAATCCTCAAAGCTTTCCAAATATCCACTTGCAGATTCTACAAAAAGTGTGGTTCAAAACTGCTGTATCAAAAGAATGGATCAACACTGTTAGTTGAGTACCCACATCACAAACGTGATTCTCAGAATGCTTCTGTCTAGTTTCTATAGGTAGATATTTCCTTTTTCAGCATAGGCCTGAAAGCGCTCCAAATGCCCGCTTCCAGACACTATAAAAAGAGGGTTTCAAACCTACTCTATGAAAGGGAATGTTCAACTCTGAGAGCTGGATGCAAACATCACAAAGAAGTTTCTGAGAATGCTGCTGTCTACTTTTTATATATAATCCCGTTGCCAACGAAATCCTCAAATCTTTCCAAATATCCACTTGCAGATTCCAAAGGAAGAGTGTCTCAAAACTGCTCTATCAATAGAAATGTTCAGCACAGTTAGTTGAGTAGATACAGCATAAACATGTTTCTGAGATTACTTCTATCTCGCATTCATGGGAAGATATTTCCTTTTTCCAGATAGGCTACAAAGCCCTCCAAATGTCCACTTCGAGATACTACAAATAGAGTGCTGCACAACTGCTCTATGTGAGGGGATGTTCAATTCTGTGACTTGGATGCAGACACCACAGAGAAGTTTCTGAGAATGCTGCTGTCTAGTTTTTATATGTAAGCCCGTTTCCAACGAAATCCTCAAAGCTATCCAAATATCCGCATGCAGAATCTTCAAAAAGAGTGTTCCAGAAGTACTGCATGAAACGAAAGGTTCAAGTCCGTTAGTTGAGGACACACATCACAAATAAGTTTCTCAGAATGCTTCTGTCTTGTTTTCATTGGAAGATATTTCCTTTTTCACCATAGTTCAGAAAGCGCTCCAAATGTCCACTTCCAGATACTACAAAAAGAGTGTGTCAAACCTGCTCTATGAATGGGAATGTTCCACTCTGTGACTTGAATGGAAATATGGCAAAGTATTTTCTGAGTATGCTGCTGTGTACGTTTTATATTGCATCCCGTTTCCAACGAAATCCTCAAAGCGATCCAAATATCCACTTGCAGATTCCAAAAAAAAGAGTGTTTCACACTGCTCTGTCAGTACAAAGGTTCAACATTGTTAGTTGATTGGATGCATCATAAACAAGTTCCTGAGATAGCTTCTATGTCGTTTTTATGGGAAGATATTTCCTTTTTCACCATAGGCCTGAAAGCGCTCCAAATGTCCACTTCCAGATACTACAAAAAGAGTGTTTCCAACCTGCTCTATGAAACGGAAGGTTCAACTCTGTGACTTGATTGCAAACATCACGAAGGTGTTTCTGAGAATGTTTCTGTCTAGATTTTCTTTGAAGACATTACCGTTTCCAACGAAATCCTCAAAGCTAGCCAAATATCCACCTGCAGATTCTACAAAAAGAGTGTTTCAAAAGTGCTCTGTCCAAACAAAGGTTCAATTCTGACAGTTGAGTGCACACATCACAAACGTGATTCTGCGAATGCTTCTGTCTAGTTTTTGTCGGAAGATATTTCCTTTTTCAGCATAGGCCCCAAGGAGCTCAAAATGTCCACTGCCAGATAGTACGAGAAGATTGTTTCAAACCTGCTCTGTGAAAGGGAATGTTCAACTCTGTGACTTGAATGTAAACATCCCTAAGCTGTTTCTTAGAATGCTTCTGGCTAGATTTGATTTGAAGATATTCCCGTTTCCAACGAAATCCTCAAAGCTTTCCAAATATCCACTTCCAGATTCTATAAAAAGAATGTTTCAGAACAGTTCTGTCAAAAGAAAGGTTCAACTCTGTTAGTGGAGAACACACATCACAATCAAGGTTCTGAGAATGCTTCTGTCTAAATTTTCTATGAAGACATTCCCGTTTCCAACGAAATCCTCACAGCTATCCAAATATCCACTTGCAGATTCTACAAAAAGTGTGGTTCAAAACTGCTGTATCAAAAGAATGGATCAACACTGTTAGTTGAGTACCCACATCACAAACGTGATTCTCAGAATGCTTCTGTCTAGTTTCTATAGGTAGATATTTCCTTTTTCAGCATAGGCCTGAAAGCGCTCCAAATGCCCGCTTCCAGACACTATAAAAAGAGGGTTTCAAACCTACTCTATGAAAGGGAATGTTCAACTCTGAGAGCTGGATGCAAACATCACAAAGAAGTTTCTGAGAATGCTGCTGTCTACTTTTTATATATAATCCCGTTTCCAACGAAATCCTCAAATCTATCCAAATATCCACTTGCAGATTCCAAAAGAAGAGTGTCTCAAAACTGCTCTATCAATAGAAATGTTCAGCACAGTTAGTTGAGTAGATACAGCATAAACATGTTTCTGAGATTACTTCTATCTCGCATTCATGGGAAGATATTTCCTTTTTCCAGATAGGCTACAAAGCCCTCCAAATGTCCACTTCCAGATACTACAAATAGAGTGCTGCACAACTGCTCTATGTGAGGGGAAGTTCAATTCTGTGACTTGAATGCAGACACCACAAAGAAGTTTCTGAGAATGCTGCTGTCTAATTTTTACATGTAAGCCCGTTTCCAACGAAATCCTCAAAGCTATCCAAATATCCGCATGCAGAATCTTCAAAAAGAGTGTTCCAGAAGTACTGCATGAAACGAAAGGTTCAAGTCCGTTTGTTGAGGACACACATCACAAATAAGTTTCTCAGAATGCTTCTGTCTTGTTTTCATTGGAAGATATTTCCTTTTTCACCATAGTTCAGAAAGCGCTCCAAATGTCCACTTCCAGATACTCCAAAAAGAGTGTTTCCAACCTGCTCTATGAATGGGAATGTTCCACTCTGTGACTTGAATGGAAATATGGCAAAGTATTTTCTGAGTATGCTGCTGTGTACGTTTTATATTGCATCCCGTTTCCAACGAAATCCTCAAAGCGATCCAAATATCCACTTGCAGATTCCAAAAAAAGAGTGTTTCAAACTGCTCTGTCAGTACAAAGGTTCAACACTGTTAGTTGATTAGATGCATCATAAACAAGTTCCTGAGATAGCTTCTATATCGTTTTTATGGGAAGATATTTCCTTTTTCACCATAGGCCTGAAAGCGCTCCAAATGTCCACTTCCAGATACTACAATAAGAGTGTTTCCAACCTGCTCTATGAAACGGAAGGTTCAACTCTGTGACTTGATTGCAAACATCACGAAGGTATTTCTGAGAATGCTTCTGTCTAGATTTTCTTTGAAGACATTCCCGTTTCCAACGAAATCCTCACAGCTATCCAAATATCCTCTTGCAGATTCTACAAAAAGTGTGGTTCAAAACTGCTGTATCAAAAGAATGGATCAACACTGTTAGTTGAGTACCCACATCACAAACGTGATTCTCAGAATGCTTCTGTCTAGTTTCTGTAGGTAGATATTTCCTATTTTAAGCATAGGCCTGAAAGCGCTCCAAATGCCCGCTTCCAGACACTATAAAAAGAGGGTTTCAAACCTACTCTATGAAAGGGAATGTTCAACTCTGAGAGCTGGATGCAAACATCACAAAGAAGTTTCTGAGAATGCTGCTGTCTACTTTTTATATATAATCCCGTTTCCAACGAAATCCTCAAATCTATCCAAATATCCACTTGCAGATTCCAAAAGAAGAGTGTCTCAAAACTGCTCTATCAATAGAAATGTTCAGCACAGTTAGTTGAGTAGATACAGCATAAACATGTTTCTGAGATTACTTCTATCTCGCATTCATGGGAAGATATTTCCTTTTTCCAGATAGGCTACAAAGCCCTCCAAATGTCCACTTCCAGATACTACAAAAAGAGTGTTTCCAACCTGCTCTATGAAACGGAAGGTTCAACTCTGTGACTTGATTGCAAACATCACGAAGGTGTTTCTGAGAATGCTTCTGTCTAGATTTTCTTTGAAGACATTACCGTTTCCAACGAAATCCTCAAAGCTAGCCAAATATCCACCTGCAGATTCTACAAAAAGAGTGTTTCAAAAGTGCTCTGTCCAAACCAAGGTTCAATTCTGACAGTTGAGTGCACACATCACAAACGTGATTCTGCGAATGCTTCTGTCTAGTTTTTGTCGGAAGATATTTCCTTTTTCAGCATAGGCCCCAAGGAGCTCAAAATGTCCACTGCCAGATAGTACGAGAAGATTGTTTCAAACCTGCTCTGTGAAAGGGAATGTTCAACTCTGTGACTTGAATGTAAACATCCCTAAGATGTTTCTTAGAATGCTTCTGGCTAGATTTGATTTGAAGATATTCCCGTTTCAAACGAAATCCTCAAAGCTTTCCAAATATCCACTTCCAGATTCTATACAAAGAATGTTTCAGAACAGTTCTGTCAAAAGAAAGGTTCAACCCTGTTAGTGGAGAACACACATCACAATCAAGGTTCTGAGAATGCTTCTGTCTAAATTTTCTATGAAGACATTCCCGTTTCCAAGGAAATCCTCACAGCTATCCAAATATCCACTTGCAGATTCTACAAAAAGTGTGGTTCAAAACTGCTGTATCAAAAGAATGGATCAACACTGTTAGTTGAGTACCCACATCACAAACGTGATTCTCAGAATGCTTCTGTCTAGTTTCTATAGGTAGATATTTCCTTTTTCAGCATAGGCCTGAAAGCGCTCCAAATGCCCGCTTCCAGACACT
Source organism: Homo sapiens (assembly GCF_000001405.40). Taxonomy (NCBI): domain Eukaryota; kingdom Metazoa; phylum Chordata; class Mammalia; order Primates; family Hominidae; genus Homo; species Homo sapiens. The sequence goes on along the minus strand of NC_000008.11, from coordinate 45,559,485 downwards.
ATAAAAAGAGGGTTTCAAACCTACTCTACGAAAGGGAATGTTCAACTCTGAGAGCTGGATGCAAACATCACAAAGAAGTTTCTGAGAATGCTGCTGTCTACTTTTTATATATAATCCCGTTTCCAAGGAAATCCTCAAATCTATCCAAATATCCACTTGCAGATTCCAAAAGAAGAGTGTCTCAAAACTGCTCTATCAATAGAAATGTTCAGCATAGTTAGTTGAGTAGATACAGCATAAACATGTTTCTGAGATTACTTCTATCTCGCATTCATGGGAAGATATTTCCTTTTTCCAGATAGGCTACAAAGCCCTCCAAATGTCCACTTCCAGATACTACAAATAGAGTGCTGCACAACTGCTCTATGTGAGGGGGAAGTTCAATTCTGTGACTTGAATGCAGACACCACAAAGAAGTTTCTGAGAATGCTGCTGTCTAATTTTTACATGTAAGCCCGTTTCCAACGAAATCCTCAAAGCTATCCAAATATCCGCATGCAGAATCTTCAAAAAGAGTGTTCCAGAAGTACTGCATGAAACGAAAGGTTCAAGTCCGTTTGTTGAGGACACACATCACAAATAAGTTTCTCAGAATGCTTCTGTCTTGTTTTCATTGGAAGATATTTCCTTTTTCACCATAGTTCAGAAAGCGCTCCAAATGTCCACTTCCAGATACTCCAAAAAGAGTGTTTCAAACCTGCTCTATGAATGGGAATGTTCCACTCTGTGACTTGAATGGAAATATGGCAAAGTATTTTACTGAGTATGCTGCTGTGTACGTTTTATATTGCATCCCGTTTCCAACGAAATCCTCAAAGCGATCCAAATATCCACTTGCAGATTCCAAAAAAAGAGTGTTTCAAACTGCTCTGTCAGTACAAAGGTTCAACACTGTTAGTTGAGTAGATGCATCATAAACAAGTTCCTGAGATAGCTTCTATGTCGTTTTTATGGGAAGATATTTCCTTTTTCACCATAGGCCTGAAAGCGCTCCAAATGTCCACTTCCAGATACTACAATAAGAGTGTTTCCAACCTACTCTATGAAACGGAAGGTTCAACTCTGTGACTTGATTGCAAACATCACGAAGGTGTTTCTGAGAATGCTTCTGTCTAGATTTTCTTTGAAGACATTCCCGTTTCCAACGAAATCCTCACAGCTATCCAAATATCCTCTTGCAGATTCTACAAAAAGTGTGGTTCAAAACTGCTGTATCAAAAGAATGGATCAACACTGTTAGTTGAGTACCCACATCACAAACGTGATTCTCAGAATGCTTCTGTCTAGTTTCTCTGGGTAGATATTTCCTATTTTAAGCATAGGCCTGAAAGCGCTCCAAATGCCCGCTTCCAGACACTATAAAAAGAGGGTTTCAAACCTACTCTATGAAAGGGAATGTTCAACTCTGAGAGCTGGATGCAAACATCACAAAGAAGTTTCTGAGAATGCTGCTGTCTACTTTTTATATATAATCCCGTTTCCAACGAAATCCTCAAATCTATCCAAATATCCACTTGCAGATTCCAAAAGAAGAGTGTCTCAAAACTGCTCTATCAATAGAAATGTTCAGCACAGTTAGTTGAGTAGATACAGCATAAACATGTTTCTGAGATTACTTCTATCTCGCATTCATGGGAAGATATTTCCTTTTTCCCGATAGGCTACAAAGCCCTCCAAATGTCCACTTCCAGATACTACAAATAGAGTGCTGCACAACTGCTCTATGTGAGGGGATGTTCAATTCTGTGACTTGAATGCAGACACCACAAAGAAGTTTCTGAGAATGCTGCTGTCTAATTTTTACATGTAAGCCCGTTTCCAACGAAATCCTCAAAGCTATCCAAATATCCGCATGCAGAATCTTCAAAAAGAGTGTTCCAGAAGTACTGCATGAAACGAAAGGTTCAAGTCCGTTTGTTGAGGACACACATCACAAAGAAGTTTACTCAGAATGCTTCTGTCTTGTTTTCATTGGAAGTATATTTCCTCTTTCACCATAGTTCAGAAAGCGCTCCAAATGTCCACTTCCAGATACTACAAAAGGAGTGTTTCCAACCTGCTCTATGAATGGGAATGTTCCACTCTGTGACTTGAATGGAAATATGGCAAAGTATTTTCTGAGTATGCTGCTGTGTACGTTTTATATTGCATCCCGTTTCCAACGAAATCCTCAAAGCGATCCAAATATCCACTTGCAGATTCCAAAAAAAGAGTGTTTCAAACTGCTCTGTCAGTACAAAGGTTCAACACTGTTAGTTGATTAGATGCATCATAAACAAGTTCCTGAGATAGCTTCTATATCGTTTTTATGGGAAGATATTTCCTTTTTCACCATAGGCCTGAAAGCGCTCCAAATGTCCACTTCCAGATACTACAATAAGAGTGTTTCCAACCTGCTCTATGAAACGGAAGGTTCAACTCTGTGACTTGATTGCAAACATCACGAAGGTGTTTCTGAGAATGCTTCTGTCTAGATTTTCTTTGAAGACATTCCCGTTTCCAACGAAATCCTCACAGCTATCCAAATATCCTCTTGCAGATTCTACAAAAAGTGTGGTTCAAAACTGCTGTATCAAAAGAATGGATCAACACTGTTAGTTGAGTACCCACATCACAAACGTGATTCTCAGAATGCTTCTGTCTAGTTTCTGTACGTAGATATTTCCTATTTTAAGCATAGGCCTGAAAGCGCTCCAAATGCCCGCTTCCAGACACTATAAAAAGAGGGTTTCAAACCTACTCTATGAAAGGGAATGTTCAACTCTGAGAGCTGGATGCAAACATCACAAAGAAGTTTCTGAGAATGCTGCTGTCTACTTTTTATATATAATCCCGTTTCCAACGAAATCCTCAAATCTATCCAAATATCCACTTGCAGATTCCAAAAGAAGAGTGTCTCAAAACTGCTCTATCAATAGAAATGTTCAGCACAGTTAGTTGAGTAGATACAGCATAAACATGTTTCTGAGATTACTTCTATCTCGCATTCATGGGAAGATATTTCCTTTTTCCAGATAGGCTACAAAGCCCTCCAAATGTCCACTTCCAGATACTACAAAAAGTGTGTTTCCAACCTGCTCTATGAAACGGAAGGTTCAACTCTGTGACTTGATTACAAACATCACGAAGTTGTTTCTGAGAATGCTTCTGTCTAGATTTTCTTTGAAGACATTACCGTTTCCAACGAAATCCTCAAAGCTAGCCAAATATCCACCTGCAGATTCTACAAAAAGAGTGTTTCAAAAGTGCTCTGTCCAAACCAAGGTTCAATTCTGACAGTTGAGTGCACACATCACAAACGCGATTCTGCGAATGCTTCTGTCTAGTTTTTGTCGGAAGATATTTCCTTTTTCAGCATAGGCCCCAAGGAGCTCAAAATGTCCACTGCCAGATAGTACGAGAAGATTGTTTCAAACCTGCTCTGTGAAAGGGAATGTTCAACTCTGTGACTTGAATGTAAACATCCCTAAGATGTTTCTTAGAATGCTTCTGGCTAGATTTTATTTGAAGATATTCCCGTTTCCAATGAAATCCTCAAAGCTTTCAAAATATCCACTTCCAGATTCTATAAAAAGAATGTTTCAGAACAGTTCTGTCAAAAGAAAGGTTCAACTCTGTTAGTGGAGAACACACATCACAATCAAGGTTCTGAGAATGCTTCTGTCTAAATTTTCTATGAAGACATTCCCGTTTCCAACGAAATCCTCACAGCTATCCAAATATCCACTTGCAGATTCTACAAAAAGTGTGGTTCAAAACTGCTGTATCAAAAGAATGGATCAACACTGCTAGTTGAGTACCCACATCACAAACGTGATTCTCAGAATGCTTCTGTCTAGTTTCTATAGGTAGATATTTCCTTTTTCAGCATAGGCCTGAAAGCGCTCCAAATGCCCGCTTCCAGACACTATAAAAAGAGGGTTTCAAACCTACTCTATGAAAGGGAATGTTCAACTCTGAGAGCTGGATGCAAACATCACAAAGAAGTTTCTGAGAATGCTGCTGTCTACTTTTTATATATAATCCCGTTTCCAACGAAATCCTCAAATCTATCCCAAAATATCCACTTGCAGATTCCAAAAGAAGAGTGTCTCAAAACTGCTCTATCAATAGAAATGTTCAGCACAGTTAGTTGAGTAGATACAGCATAAACATGTTTCTGAGATTACTTCTATCTCGCATTCATGGGAAGATATTTCCTTTTTCCAGATAGGCTACAAAGCCCTCCAAATGTCCACTTCCAGATACTACAAATAGAGTGCTGCACAACTGCTCTATGTGAGGGGAAGTTCAATTCTGTGACTTGAATGCAGACACCACAAAGAAGTTTCTGAGAATGCTGCTGTCTAATTTTTACATGTAAGCCCGTTTCCAACGAAATCCTCAAAGCTATCCAAATATCCGCATGCAGAATCTTCAAAAAGAGTGTTCCAGAAGTACTGCATGAAACGAAAGGTTCAAGTCCGTTTGTTGAGGACAGACATCACAAATAAGTTTCTCAGAATGCTTCTGTCTTGTTTTCATTGGAAGATATTTCCTTTTTCACCATAGTTCAGAAAGCGCTCCAAATGTCCACTTCCAGATACTCCAAAAAGAGTGTTTCCAACCTGCTCTATGAATGGGAATGTTCCACTCTGTGACTTGAATGGAAATATGGCAAAGTATTTTCTGAGTATGCTGCTGTGCACGTTTTATATTGCATCCCGTTTCCAACGAAATCCACAAAGCGATCCAAATATCCACTTGCAGATTCCAAAAAAAGAGTGTTTCAAACTGCTCTGTCAGTACAAAGGTTCAACACTGTTAGTTGATTAGATGCATCATAAACAAGTTCCTGAGATAGCTTCTATGTCGTTTTTATGGGAAGATATTTCCTTTTTCACCAGAGGCCTGAAAGCACTCCAAATGTCCACTTCCAGATACTACAAAAAGAGTGTTTCCAACCTGCTCTATGAAACGGAAGGTTCAACTCTGTGACTTGATTGCAAACATCACGAAGGTGTTTCTGAGAATGTTTCTGTCTAGATTTTCTTTGAAGACATTACCGTTTCCAACGAAATCCTCAAAGCTAGCCAAATATCCACCTGCAGATCCTTCAAAAAGTGTGTTTCAAAAGTGCTCTGTCCAAACCAAGGTTCAATGCTGACAGTTGAGTGCACACATCACAAACGTGATTCTGCGAATGCTTCTGTCTAGTTTTTGTCGGAAGATATTTCCTTTTTCAGCATAGGCCCCAAGGAGCTCAAAATGTCCACTGCCAGATAGTACGAGAAGATTGTTTCAAACCTGCTCTGTGAAAGGGAATGTTCAACTCTGTGACTTGAATGTAAACATCCCTAAGATGTTTCTTAGAATGCTTCTGGCTAGATTTGATTTGAAGATATTCCCGTTTCCAACGAAATCCTCAAAGCTTTCCAAATATCCACTTCCAGATTCTATAAAAAGAATGTTTCAGAACAGTTCTGTCAAAAGAAAGGTTCAACTCTGTTAGTGGAGAACACACATCACAATCAAGGTTCTGAGAATGCTTCTGTCTAAATTTTCTATGAAGACATTCCCGTTTCCAACGAAATCCTCACAGCTATCCAAATATCCACTTGCAGATTCTACAAAAAGTGTGGTTCAAAACTGCTGTATCAAAAGAATGGATCAACACTGTTAGTTGAGTACCCACATCACAAACGTGATTCTCAGAATGCTTCTGTCTAGTTTCTATACGTAGATATTTCCTTTTTCAGCATAGGCCTGAAAGCGCTCCAAATGCCCGCTTCCAGACACTATAAAAAGAGGGTTTCAAACCTACTCTATGAAAGGGAATGTTCAACTCTGAGAGCTGGATGCAAACATCACAAAGAAGTTTCTGAGAATGCTGCTGTCTACTTTTTATATATAATCCCGTTTCCAACGAAATCCTCAAATCTATCCAAATATCCACTTGCAGATTCCAAAAGAAGAGTGTCTCAAAACTGCTCTATCAATAGAAATGTTCAGCACAGTTAGTTGAGTAGATACAGCATAAACATGTTTCTGAGATTACTTCTATCTCGCATTCATGGGAAGATATTTCCTTTTTCCAGATAGGCTACAAAGCCCTCCAAATGTCCACTTCCAGATACTACAAATAGAGTGCTGCACAACTGCTCTATGTGAGGGGAAGTTCAATTCTGTGACTTGAATGCAGACACCACAAAGAAGTTTCTGAGAATGCTGCTGTCTAATTTTTACATGTAAGCCCGTTTCCAACGAAATCCTCAAAGCTATCCAAATATCCGCATGCAGAATCTTCAAAAAGAGTGTTCCAGAAGTACTGCATGAAACGAAAGGTTCAAGTCCGTTTGTTGAGGACACACATCACAAATAAGTTTCTCAGAATGCTTCTGTCTTGTTTTCATTGGAAGATATTTCCTTTTTCACCATAGTTCAGAAAGCGCTCCAAATGTCCACTTCCAGATACGCCAAAAAGAGTGTTTCCAACCTGCTCTATGAATGGGAATGTTCCACTCTGTGACTTGAATGGAAATATGGCAAAGTATTTTCTGAGTATGCTGCTGTGTACGTTTTATATTGCATCCCGTTTCCAACGAAATCCTCAAAGCGATCCAAATATCCACTTGCAGATTCCAAAAAAAGAGTGTTTCAAACTGCTCTGTCAGTACAAAGGTTCAACACTGTTAGTTGATTAGATGCATCATAAACAAGTTCCTGAGACAGCTTTCTATGTCGTTTTTATGGGAAGATATTTCCTTTTTCACCATAGGCCTGAAAGCGCTCCAAATGTCCACTTCCAGATACTACAATAAGAGTGTTTCCAACCTGCTCTATGAAACGGAAGGTTCAACTCTGTGACTTGATTGCAAACATCACGAAGGTGTTTCTGAGAATGCTTCTGTCTAGATTTTCTTTGAAGACATTACCGTTTCCAACGAAATCCTCAAAGCTAGCCAAATATCCACCTGCAGATTCTACAAAAAGAGTGTTTCAAAAGTGCTCTGTCCAAACCAAGGTTCAATTCTGACAGTTGAGTGCACACATCACAAACGTGATTCTGCGAATGCTTCTGTCTAGTTTTTGTCGGAAGATATTTCCTTTTTCAGCATAGGCCCCAAGGAGCTCAAAATGTCCACTGCCAGATAGTACGAGAAGATTGTTTCAAACCTGCTCTGTGAAAGGGAATGTTCAACTCTGTGACTTGAATGTAAACATCCCTAAGATGTTTCTTAGAATGCTTTCTGGCTAGATTTTATTTGAAGATATTCCCGTTTCCAACGAAATCCTCAAAGCTTTCCAAATATCCACTTCCAGATTCTATAAAAAGAATGTTTCAGAACAGTTCTGTCAAAAGAAAGGTTCAACTCTGTTAGTGGAGAACACACATCACAATCAAGGTTCTGAGAATGCTTCTGTCTAATTTTCTATGAAGACATTCCCGTTTCCAACGAAATCCTCACAGCTATCCAAATATCCACTTGCAGATTCTACAAAAAGTGTGGTTCAAAACTGCTGTATCAAAAGAATGGATCAACACTGTTAGTTGAGTACCCACATCACAAACGTGATTCTCAGAATGCTTCTGTCTAGTTTCTATAGGTAGATATTTCCTTTTTCAGCATAGGCCTGAAAGCGCTCCAAATGCCCGCTTCCAGACACTATAAAAAGAGGGTTTCAAACCTACTCTATGAAAGGGAATGTTCAACTCTGAGAGCTGGATGCAAACATCACAAAGAAGTTTCTGAGAATGCTTGCTGTCTACTTTTTATATATAATCCCGTTTCCAACGAAATCCTCAAATCTATCCAAATATCCACTTGCAGATTCCAAAAGAAGAGTGTCTCAAAACTGCTCTATCAATAGAAATGTTCAGCACAGTTAGTTGAGTAGATACAGCATAAACATGTTTCTGAGATTACTTCTATCTCGCATTCATGGGAAGATATTTCCTTTTTCCAGATAGGCTACAAAGCCCTCCAAATGTCCACTTCCAGATACTACAAAAAGAGTGTTTCCAACCTGCTCTATGAAACGGAAGGTTCAACTCTGTGACTTGATTGCAAACATCACGAAGGTGTTTCTGAGAATGCTTCTGTCTAGATTTTCTTTGAAGACATTACCGTTTCCAACGAAATCCTCAAAGCTAGCCAAATATCCACCTGCAGATTCTACAAAAAGAGTGTTTCAAAAGTGCTCTGTCCAAACCAAGGTTCAATTCTGACAGTTGAGTGCACACATCACAAACGTGAATTCTGCGAATGCTTCTGTCTAGTTTTTGTCGGAAGATATTTCCTTTTTCAGCATAGGCCCCAAGGAGCTCAAAATGTCCACTGCCAGATAGTACGAGAAGATTGTTTCAAACCTGCTCTGTGAAAGGGAATGTTCAACTCTGTGACTTGAATGTAAACATCCCTAAGATGTTTCTTAGAATGCTTCTGGCTAGATTTGATTTGAAGATATTCCCGTTTCAAACGAAATCCTCAAAGCTTTCCAAATATCCACTTCCAGATTCTATACAAAGAATGTTTCAGAACAGTTCTGTCAAAAGAAAGGTTCAACCCTGTTAGTGGAGAACACACATCACAATCAAGGTTCTGAGAATGCTTCTGTCTACATTTTCTATGAAGACATTCCCGTTTCCAACGAAATCCTCACAGCTATCCAAATATCCACTTGCAGATTCTACAAAAAGTGTGGTTCAAAACTGCTGTATCAAAAGAATGGATCAACACTGTTAGTTGAGTACCCACATCACAAACGTGATTCTCAGAATGCTTCTGTCTAGTTTCTGTAGGTAGATATTTCCTATTTTAAGCATAGGCCTGAAAGCGCTCCAAATGCCCGCTTCCAGACACTATAAAAAGAGGGTTTCAAACCTACTCTATGAAAGGGAATGTTCAACTCTGAGAGCTGGATGCAAACATCACAAAGAAGTTTCTGAGAATGCTGCTGTCTACTTTTTATATATAATCCCGTTTCCAACGAAATCCTCAAATCTATCCAAATATCCACTTGCAGATTCCAAAAGAAGAGTGTCTCAAAACTGCTCTATCAATAGAAATGTTCAGCACAGTTAGTTGAGTAGATACAGCATAAACATGTTTCTGAGATTACTTCTATCTCGCATTCATGGGAAGATATTTCCTTTTTCCAGATAGGCTACAAAGCCCTCCAAATGTCCACTTCCAGATACTACAAATAGAGTGCTGCACAACTGCTCTATGTGAGGGGAAGTTCAATTCTGTGACTTGAATGCAGACACCACAAAGAAGTTTCTGAGAATGCTGCTGTCTAATTTTTATATGTAAGCCCGTTTCCAACGAAATCCTCAAAGCTATCCAAATATCCGCATGCAGAATCTTCAAAAAGAGTGTTCCAGAAGTACTGCATGAAACGAAAGGTTCAAGTCCGTTTGTTGAGGACACACATCACAAATAAGTTTCTCAGAATGCTTCTGTCTTGTTTTCATTGGAAGATATTTCCTTTTTCACCATAGTTCAGAAAGCGCTCCAAATGTCCACTTCCAGATACTCCAAAAAGAGTGTTTCAAACCTGCTCTATGAATGGGAATGTTCCACTCTGTGACTTGAATGGAAATATGGCAAAGTATTTTCTGAGTATGCTGCTGTGTACGTTTTATATTGCATCCCGTTTCCAACGAAATCCTCAAAGCGATCCAAATATCCACTTGGAGATTCCAAAAAAAGAGTGTTTCAAACTGCTCTGTCAGTACAAAGGTTCAACACTGTTAGTTGATTAGATGCATCATAAACAAGTTCCTGAGATAGCTTCTATGTCGTTTTTATGGGAAGATATTTCCTTTTTCACCATAGGCCTGAAAGCGCTCCAAATGTCCACTTCCAGATACTACAATAAGAGTGTTTCCAACCTGCTCTATGAAACGGAAGGTTCAACTCTGTGACTTGATTGCAAACATCACGAAGGTGTTTCTGAGAATGCTTCTGTCTAGATTTTCTTTGAAGACATTACCGTTTCCAACGAAATCCTCAAAGCTAGCCAAATATCCACCTGCAGATTCTACAAAAAGAGTGTTTCAAAAGTGCTCTGTCCAAACCAAGGTTCAATTCTGACAGTTGAGTGCACACATCACAAACGTGATTCTGCGAATGCTTCTGTCTAGTTTTTGTCGGAAGATATTTCCTTTTTCAGCATAGGCCCCAAGGAGCTCAAAATGTCCACTGCCAGATAGTACGAGAAGATTGTTTCAAACCTGCTCTGTGAAAGGGAATGTTCAACTCTGTGACTTGAATGTAAACATCCCTAAGATGTTTCTTAGAATGCTTCTGGCTAGATTTTATTTGAAGATATTCCCGTTTCCAACGAAATCCTCAAAGCTTTCCAAATATCCACTTCCAGATTCTATAAAAAGAATGTTTCAGAACAGTTCTGTCAAAAGAAAGGTTCAACTCTGTTAGTGGAGAACACACATCACAATCAAGGTTCTGAGAATGCTTCTGTCTACATTTTCTATGAAGACATTCCCGTTTCCAACGAAATCCTCACAGCTATCCAAATATCCACTTGCAGATTCTACAAAAAGTGTGGTTCAAAACTGCTGTATCAAAAGAATGGATCAACACTGTTAGTTGAGTACCCACATCACAAACGTGATTCTCAGAATGCTTCTGTCTAGTTTCTGTAGGTAGATATTTCCTATTTTAAGCATAGGCCTGAAAGCGCTCCAAATGCCCGCTTCCAGACACTATAAAAAGAGGGTTTCAAACCTACTCTATGAAAGGGAATGTTCAACTCTGAGAGCTGGATGCAAACATCACAAAGAAGTTTCTGAGAATGCTGCTGTCTACTTTTTATATATAATCCCGTTTCCAACGAAATCCTCAAATCTATCCAAATATCCACTTGCAGATTCCAAAAGAAGAGTGTCTCAAAACTGCTCTATCAATAGAAATGTTCAGCACAGTTAGTTGATTAGATACAGCATGAACATGTTTCTGAGATTACTTCTATCTCGCATTCATGGGAAGATATTTCCTTTTTCCAGATAGGCTACAAAGCCCTCCAAATGTCCACTTCCAGATACTACAAATAGAGTGCTGCACAACTGCTCTATGTGAGGGGAAGTTAAATTCTGTGACTTGAATGCAGACACCACAAAGAAGTTTCTGAGAATGCTGCTGTCTAATTTTTACATGTAAGCCCGTTTCCAACGAAATCCTCAAAGCTATCCAAATATCCGCATGCAGAATCTTCAAAAAGAGTGTTCCAGAAGTACTGCATGAAACGAAAGGTTCAAGTCCGTTTGTTGAGGACACACATCACAAATAAGTTTCTCAGAATGCTTCTGTCTTGTTTTCATTGGAAGATATTTCCTTTTTCACCATAGTTCAGAAAGCGCTCCAAATGTCCACTTCCAGATACTCCAAAAAGAGTGTTTCCAACCTGCTCTATGAATGGGAATGTTCCACTCTGTGACTTGAATGGAAACATGGCAAAGTATTTTCTGAGTATGCTGCTGTGTACGTTTTATATTGCCTCCCGTTTCCAACGAAATCCTCAAAGTGATCCAAATATCCACTTGCAGATTCCAAAAAAAAAGTGTTTCAAACTGCTCTGTCAGTACAAAGGTTCAACACTGTTAGTTGATTAGATGCATCATAAACAAGTTCCTGAGATAGCTTCTATGTCGTTTTTATGGGAAGATATTTCCTTTTTCACCATAGGCCTGAAAGCGCTCCAAATGTCCACTTCCAGATACTACAATAAGAGTGTTTCCAACCTGCTCTATGAAACGGAAGGTTCAACTCTGTGACTTGATTGCAAACATCACGAAGGTGTTTCTGAGAATGCTTCTGTCTAGATTTTCTTTGAAGACATTACCGTTTCCAACGAAATCCTCAAAGCTAGCCAAATATCCACCTGCAGATTCTACAAAAAGAGTGTTTCAAAAGTGCTCTGTCCAAACCAAGGTTCAATTCTGACAGTTGAGTGCACACATCACAAACGTGATTCTGCGAATGCTTCTGTCTAGTTTTTGTCGGAAGATATTTCCTTTTTCAGCATAGGCCCCAAGGAGCTCAAAATGTCCACTGCCAGATAGTACGAGAAGATTGTTTCAAACCTGCTCTGTGAAAGGGAATGTTCAACTCTGTGACTTGAATGTAAACATCCCTAAGATGTTTCTTAGAATGCTTCTGGCTAGATTTTATTTGAAGATATTCCCGTTTCCAATGAAATCCTCAAAGCTTTCCAAATATCCACTTCCAGATTCTATAAAAAGAATGTTTCAGAACAGTTCTGTCAAAAGAAAGGTTCAACTCTGTTAGTGGAGAACACACATCACAATCAAGGTTCTGAGAATGCTTCTGTCTAAATTTTCTATGAAGACATTCAAGTTTCCAACGAAATCCTCACAGCTATCCAAATATCCACTTGCAGATTCTACAAAAAGTGTGGTTCAAAACTGCTGTATCAAAAGAATGGATCAACACTGTTAGTTGAGTACCCACATCACAAACGTGATTCTCAGAATGCTTCTGTCTAGTTTCTATAGGTAGATATTTCCTTTTTCAGCATAGGCCTGAAAGCGCTCCAAATGCCCGCTTCCAGACACTATAAAAAGAGGGTTTCAAACCTACTCTATGAAAGGGAATGTTCAACTCTGAGAGCTGGATGCAAACATCACAAAGAAGTTTCTGAGAATGCTGCTGTCTACTTTTTATATATAATCCCGTTTCCAACGAAATCCTCAAATCTATCCAAATATCCACTTGCAGATTCCAAAAGAAGAGTGTCTCAAAACTGCTCTATCAATAGAAATGTTCAGCACAGTTAGTTGAGTAGATACAGCATAAACATGTTTCTGAGATTACTTCTATCTCGCATTCATGGGAAGATATTTCCTTTTTCCAGATAGGCTACAAAGCCCTCCAAATGTCCACTTCCAGATACTACAAATAGAGTGCTGCACAACTGCTCTATGTGAGGGGAAGTTCAATTCTGTGACTTGAATGCAGACACCACAAAGAAGTTTCTGAGAATGCTGCTGTCTAATTTTTACATGTAAGCCCGTTTCCAACGAAATCCTCAAAGCTATCCAAATATCCGCATGCAGAATCTTCAAAAAGAGTGTTCCAGAAGTACTGCATGAAACGAAAGTTTCAAGTCCGTTTGTTGAGGACACACATCACAAATAAGTTTCTCAGAATGCTTCTGTCTTGTTTTCATTGGAAGATATTTCCTTTTTCACCATAGTTCAGAAAGCGCTCCAAATGTCCACTTCCAGATACTCCAAAAAGAGTGTTTCCAACCTGCTCTATGAATGGGAATGTTCCACTCTGTGACTTGAATGGAAATATGGCAAAGTATTTTCTGAGTATGCTGCTGTGTACGTTTTATATTGCATCCCGTTTCCAACGAAATCCTCAAAGCGATCCAAATATCCACTTGCAGATTCCAAAAAAAAAGTGTTTCAAACTGCTCTGTCAGTACAAAGGTTCAACACTGTTAGTTGATTAGATGCATCATAAACAAGTTCCTGAGATAGCTTCTATGTCGTTTTTATGGGAAGATATTTCCTTTTTCACCATAGGCCTGAAAGCGCTCCAAATGTCCACTTCCAGATACTACAATAAGAGTGTTTCCAACCTGCTCTATGAAACGGAAGGTTCAACTCTGTGACTTGATTGCAAACATCACGAAGGTGTTTCTGAGAATGCTTCTGTCTAGATTTTCTTTGAAGACATTACCGTTTCCAACGAAATCCTCAAAGCTAGCCAAATATCCACCTGCAGATTCTACAAAAAGAGTGTTTCAAAAGTGCTCTGTCCAAACAAAGGTTCAATTCTGACAGTTGAGTGCACACATCACAAACGTGATTCTGCGAATGCTTCTGTCTAGTTTTTGTCGGAAGATATTTCCTTTTTCAGCATAGGCCCCAAGGAGCTCAAAATGTCCACTGCCAGATAGTACGAGAAGATTGTTTCAAACCTGCTCTGTGAAAGGGAATGTTCAACTCTGTGACTTGAATGTAAACATCCCTAAGCTGTTTCTTAGAATGCTTCTGGCTAGATTTGATTTGAAGATATTCCCGTTTCCAACGAAATCCTCAAAGCTTTCCAAATATCCACTTCCAGATTCTATAAAAAGAATGTTTCAGAACAGTTCTGTCAAAAGAAAGGTTCAACTCTGTTAGTGGAGAACACACATCACAATCAAGGTTCTGAGAATGCTTCTGTCTAAATTTTCTATGAAGACATTCCCGTTTCCAACGAAATCCTCACAGCTATCCAAATATCCACTTGCAGATTCTACAAAAAGTGTGGTTCAAAACTGCTGTATCAAAAGAATGGATCAACACTGTTAGTTGAGTACCCACATCACAAACGTGATTCTCAGAATGCTTCTGTCTAGTTTCTATAGGTAGATATTTCCTTTTTCAGCATAGGCCTGAAAGCGCTCCAAATGCCCGCTTCCAGACACTATAAAAAGAGGGTTTCAAAACTACTCTATGAAAGGGAACGTTCAACTCTGGGAGCTAGATGCAAACATCACAAAGAAGTTTCTGAGAATGCTGCTGTCTACTTTTTATATATAATCCCGTTTCCAACGAAATCCTCAAATCTATCCAAATATCCACTTGCAGATTCCAAAAGAAGAGTGTCTCAAAACTGCTCTATCAATAGAAATGTTCAGCACAGTTAGTTGAGTAGATACAGCATAAACATGTTTCTGAGATTACTTCTATCTCGCATTCATGGGAAGATATTTCCTTTTTCCAGATAGGCTACAAAGCCCTCCAAATGTCCACTTCCAGATACTACAAATAGAGTGCTGCACAACTGCTCTATGTGAGGGGATGTTCAATTCTGTGACTTGAATGCAGACACCACAAAGAAGTTTCTGAGAATGCTGCTGTCTAATTTTTACATGTAAGCCCGTTTCCAACGAAATCCTCAAAGCTATCCAAATATCCGCATGCAGAATCTTCAAAAAGAGTGTTCCAGAAGTACTGCATGAAACGAAAGGTTCAAGTCCGTTTGTTGAGGACACACATCACAAATAAGTTTACTCAGAATGCTTCTGTCTTGTTTTCTTGGAAGATATTTCCTTTTTCACCATAGTTCAGAAAGCGCTCCAAATGTCCACTTCCAGATACTCCAAAAAGAGTGTTTCCAACCTGCTCTATGAATGGGAATGTTCCACTCTGTGACTTGAATGGAAATATGGCAAAGTATTTTCTGAGTATGCTGCTGTGTACGTTTTATATTGCATCCCGTTTCCAACGAAATCCTCAAAGCGATCCAAATATCCACTTGCAAATTCCAAAAAAAGAGTGTTTCAAACTGCTCTGTCAGTACAAAGGTTCAACACTGTTAGTTGATTAGATGCATCATAAACAAGTTCCTGAGATAGCTTCTATGTCGTTTTTATGGGAAGATATTTCCTTTTTCACCATAGGCCTGAAAGCGCTCCAAATGTCCACTTCCAGATACTACAATAAGAGTGTTTCCAACCTGCTCTATGAAACGGAAGGTTCAACTCTGTGACTTGATTGCAAACATCACGAAGGTGTTTCTGAGAATGCTTCTGTCTAGATTTTCTTTGAAGACATTACCGTTTCCAACGAAATCCTCAAAGCTAGCCAAATATCCACCTGCAGATTCTACAAAAAGAGTGTTTCAAAAGTGCTCTGTCCAAACCAAGGTTCAATTCTGACAGTTGAGTGCACACATCACAAACGTGATTCTGCGAATGCTTCTGTCTAGTTTTTGTCGGAAGATATTTCCTTTTTCAGCATAGGCCCCAAGGAGCTCAAAATGTCCACTGCCAGATAGTACGAGAAGATTGTTTCAAACCTGCTCTGTGAAAGGGAATGTTCAACTCTGTGACTTGAATGTAAACATCCCTAAGCTGTTTCTTAGAATGCTTCTGGCTAGATTTGATTTGAAGATATTCCCGTTTCCAACGAAATCCTCAAAGCTTTCCAAATATCCACTTCCAGATTCTATAAAAAGAATGTTTCAGAACAGTTCTGTCAAAAGAAAGGTTCAGCTCTGTTAGTGGAGAACACACATCACAATCAAGGTTCTGAGAATGCTTCTGTCTAAATTTTCTATGAAGACATTCCCGTTTCCAACGAAATCCTCACAGCTATCCAAATATCCACTTGCAGATTCTACAAAAAGTGTGGTTCAAAACTGCTGTATCAAAAGAATGGATCGACACTGTTAGTTGAGTACCCACATCACAAACGTGATTCTCAGAATGCTTCTGTCTAGTTTCTATAGGTAGATATTTCCTTTTTCAGCATAGGCCTGAAAGCGCTCCAAATGCCCGCTTCCAGACACTATAAAAAGAGGGTTTCAAACCTACTCTATGAAAGGGAATGTTCAACTCTGAGAGCTGGATGCAAACATCACAAAGAAGTTTCTGAGAATGCTGCTGTCTACTTTTTATATATAATCCCGTTTCCAACGAAATCCTCAAATCTATCCAAATATCCACTTGCAGATTCCAAAAGAAGAGTGTCTCAAAACTGCTCTATCAATAGAAATGTTCAGCACAGTTAGTTGAGTACATACAGCATAAACATGTTTCTGAGATTACTTCTATCTCGCATTCATGGGAAGATATTTCCTTTTTCCAGATAGGCTACAAAGCCCTCCAAATGTCCACTTCCAGATACTACAAATAGAGTGCTGCACAACTGCTCTATGTGAGGGGAAGTTCAATTCTGTGACTTGAATGCAGACACCACAAAGAAGTTTCTGAGAATGCTGCTGTCTAATTTTTACATGTAAGCCCGTTTCCAACGAAATCCTCAAAGCTATCCAAAGATCCGCATGCAGAATCTTCAAAAAGAGTGTTCCAGAAGTACTGCATGAAACGAAAGGTTCAAGTCCGTTAGTTGAGGACACACATCACAAATAAGTTTCTCAGAATGCTTCTGTCTTGTTTTCATTGGAAGATATTTCCTTTTTCACCATAGTTCAGAAAGCGCTCCAAATGTCCACTTCCAGATACTCCAAAAAGAGTGTTTCCAACCTGCTCTATGAATGGGAATGTTCCACTCTGTGACTTGAATGGAAATATGGCAAAGAATTTTCTGAGTATGCTGCTGTTTACGTTTTATATTGCATCCCGTTTCCAACGAAATCCTCAAAGCGATCCAAATATCCACTTGCAGATTCCAAAAAAAAGAGTGTTTCACACTGCTCTGTCAGTACAAAGGTTCAACACTGTTAGTTGATTGGATGCATCATAAACAAGTTCCTGAGATAGCTTTCTATATCGTTTTTATGGGAAGATATTTCCTTTTTCACCATAGGCCTGAAAGCGCTCCAAATGTCCACTTCCAGATACTACAATAAGAGTGTTTCCAACCTGCTCTATGAAACGGAAGGTTCAACTCTGTGACTTGATTGCAAACATCACGAAGGTGTTTCTGAGAATGCTTCTGTCTAGATTTTCTTTGAAGACATTACCGTTTCCAACGAAATCCTCAAAGCTAGCCAAATATCCACCTGCAGATTCTACAAAAAGAGTGTTTCAAAAGTGCTCTGTCCAAACCAAGGTTCAATTCTGACAGTTGAGTGCACACATCACAAACGTGATTCTGCGAATGCTTCTGTCTAGTTTTTGTCGGAAGATATTTCCTTTTTCAGCATAGGCCCCAAGGAGCTCAAAATGTCCACTGCCAGATAGTACGAGAAGATTGTTTCAAACCTGCTCTGTGAAAGGGAATGTTCAACTCTGTGACTTGAATGTAAACATCCCTAAGATGTTTCTTAGAATGCTTCTGGCTAGATTTGATTTGAAGATATTCCCGTTTCCAACGAAATCCTCAAAGCTTTCCAAATATCCACTTCCAGATTCTATAAAAAGAATGTTTCAGAACAGTTCTGTCAAAAGAAAGGTTCAACTCTGTTAGTGGAGAACACACATCACAATCAAGGTTCTGAGAATGCTTCTGTCTAGATTTTCTTTGAAGACATTCCCGTTTCCAACGAAATCCTCACAGCTATCCAAATTTCCTCTTGCAGATTCTACAAAAAGTGTGGTTCAAAACTGCTGTATCAAAAGAATGGATCAACACTGTTAGTTGAGTACCCACATCACAAACGTGATTCTCAGAATGCTTCTGTCTAGTTTCTGTAGGTGGATATTTCCTATTTTAAGCATAGGCCTGAAAGCGCTCCAAATGCCCGCTTCTAGACACTATAAAAAGAGGGTTTCAAACCTACTCTATGAAAGGGAATGTTCAACTCTGAGAGCTGGATGCAAACATCACAAAGAAGTTTTCTGAGAATGCTTGCTGTCTACTTTTTATATATAATCCCGTTTCCAACGAAATCCTCAAATCTATCCAAATATCCACTTGCAGATTCCAAAAGAAGAGGGTCTCAAAACTGCTCTATCAATAGAAATGTTCAGCACAGTTAGTTGTGTAGATACAGCATAAACATGTTTCTGAGATTACTACTATCTCGCATTCATGGGAAGATATTTCCTTTTTCCAGATAGGCTACAAAGCCCTCCAAATGTCCACTTCCAGATACTACAAATAGAGTGCTGCACAACTGCTCTATGTGAGGGGATGTTCAATTCTGTGACTTGAATGCAGACACCACAAAGAAGTTTCTGAGAATGCTGCTGTCTAATTTTTACATGTAAGCCCGTTTCCAACGAAATCCTCAAAGCAATCCAAATATCCGCATGCAGAATCTTCAAAAAGAGTGTTCCAGAAGTACTGCATGAAACGAAAGGTTCAAGTCCGTTTGTTGAGGACACACATCACAAATAAGTTTCTCAGAATGCTTCTGTCTTGTTTTCATTGGAAGATATTTCCTTTTTCACCATAGTTCAGAAAGCGCTCCAAATGTCCACTTCCAGATACTCCAAAAAGAGTGTTTCCAACCTGCTCTATGAATGGGAATGTTCCACTCTGTGACTTGAATGGAAATATGGCAAAGAATTTTCTGAGTATGCTGCTGTGTACGTTTTATATTGCATCCCGTTTCCAACGAAATCCTCAAAGCGATCCAAATATCCACTTGCAGATTCGAAAAAAAGAGTGTTTCAAACTGCTCTGTCAGTACAAAGGTTCAACACTGTTAGTTGATTAGATGCATCATAAACAAGTTCCTGAGATAGCTTCTATGTCGTTGTTATGGGAAGATATTTCCTTTTTCACCATAGGCCTGAAAGCGCTCCAAATGTCCACTTCCAGATACTACAATAAGAGTGTTTCCAACCTGCTCTATGAAACGGAAGGTTCAACTCTGTGACTTGATTGCAAACATCACGAAGGTGTTTCTGAGAATGCTTCTGTCTAGATTTTCTTTGAAGACATTACCGTTTCCAACGAAATCCTCAAAGCTAGCCAAATATCCACCTGCAGATTCTACAAAAAGAGTGTTTCAAAAGTGCTCTGTCCAAACCAAGGTTCAATTCTGACAGTTGAGTGCACACATCACAAACGTGATTCTGCGAATGCTTCTGTCTAGTTTTTGTCGGAAGATATTTCCTTTTTCAGCATAGGCCCCAAGGAGCTCAAAATGTCCACTGCCAGATAGTACGAGAAGATTGTTTCAAACCTGCTCTGTGAAAGGGAATGTTCAACTCTGTGACTTGAATGTAAACATCCCTAAGATGTTTCTTAGAATGCTTCTGGCTAGATTTTATTTGAAGATATTCCCGTTTCCAATGAAATCCTCAAAGCTTTCCAAATATCCACTTCCAGATTCTATAAAAAGAATGTTTCACAACAGTTCTGTCTAAAGAAAGGTTCAACTCTGTTAGTGGAGAACACACATCACAATCAAGGTTCTGAGAATGCTTCTGTCTAAATTTCCTATGAAGACATTCCCGTTTCCAACGAAATCCTCACAGCTATCCAAATATCCACTTGCAGATTCTACAAAAAGTGTGGTTCAAAACTGCTGTATCAAAAGAATGGATCAACACTGTTAGTTGAGTACCCACATCACAAACGTGATTCTCAGAATGCTTCTGTCTAGTTTCTGTAGGTAGATATTTCCTATTTTAAGCATAGGCCTGAAAGCGCTCCAAATGCCCGCTTCCAGACACTATAAAAAGAGGGTTTCAAACCTACTCTATGAAAGGGAATGTTCAACTCTGAGAGCTGGATGCAAACATCACAAAGAAGTTTCTGAGAATGCTGCTGTCTACTTTTTATATATAATCCCGTTTCCAACGAAATCCTCAAATCTATCCAAATATCCACTTGCAGATTCCAAAAGAAGAGTGTCTCAAAACTGCTCTATCAATAGAAATGTTCAGCACAGTTAGTTGAGAAGATACAGCATAAACATGTTTCTGAGATTACTTCTATCTCGCATTCATGGGAAGATATTTCCTTTTTCCAGATAGGCTACAAAGCCCTCCAAATGTCCACTTCGAGATACTACAAATAGAGTGCTGCACAACTGCTCTATGTGAGGGGAAGTTCAATTCTGTGACTTGAATGCAGACACCACAAAGAAGTTTCTGAGAATGCTGCTGTCTAATTTTTACATGTAAGCCCGTTTCCAACGAAATCCTCAAAGCTATCCAAATATCCGCATGCAGAATCTTCTAAAAGAGTGTTCCAGAAGTACTGCATGAAACGAAAGGTTCAAGTCCGTTTGTTGAGGACACACATCACAAATAAGTTTCTCAGAATGCTTCTGTCTTGTTTTCATTGGAAGATATTTCCTTTTTCACCATAGTTCAGAAAGCGCTCCAAATGTCCACTTCCAGATACTCCAAAAAGAGTGTTTCAAACCTGCTCTATGAATGGGAATGTTCCACTCTGTGACTTGAATGGAAATATGGCAAAGTATTTTCTGAGTATGCTGCTGTGTACGTTTTATATTGCATCCCGTTTCCAACGAAATCCTCAAAGCGATCCAAATATCCACTTGCAGATTCCAAAAAAAGAGTGTTTCAAACTCCTCTGTCAGTACAAAGGTTCAACACTGTTAGTTGATTAGATGCAACATAAACAAGTTCCTGAGATAGTTTCTATGTCGTTTTTATGGGAAGATATTTCCTTTTTCACCATAGGCCTGAAAGCGCTCCAAATGTCCACTTCCAGATACTACAATAAGAGTGTTTCCAACCTGCTCTATGAAACGGAAGGTTCAACTCTGTGACTTGATTGCAAACATCACGAAGGTGTTTCTGAGAATGCTTCTGTCTAGATTTTCTTTGAAGACATTCCCGTTTCCAACGAAATCCTCACAGCTATCCAAATATCCTCTTGCAGATTCTACAAAAAGTGTGGTTCAAAACTGCTGTATCAAAAGAATGGATCAACACTGTTAGTTGAGTACCCACATCACAAACGTGATTCTCAGAATGCTTCTGTCTAGTTTCTGTAGGTAGATATTTCCTATTTTAAGCATAGGCCTGAAAGCGCTCCAAATGCCCGCTTCCAGACACTATAAAAAGAGGGTTTCAAACCTACTCTATGAAAGGGAATGTTCAACTCTGAGAGCTGGATGCAAACATCACAAAGAAGTTTCTGAGAATGCTGCTGTCTACTTTTTATATATAATCCCGTTTCCAACGAAATCCTCAAATCTATCCAAATATCCACTTGCAGATTCCAAAAGAAGAGTGTCTCAAAACTGCTCTATCAATAGAAATGTTCAGCACAGTTAGTTGAGTAGATACAGCATAAACATGTTTCTGAGATTACTTCTATCTCGCATTCATGGGAAGATATTTCCTTTTTCCAGATAGGCTACAAAGCCCTCCAAATGTCCACTTCCAGATACTACAAATAGAGTGCTGCACAACTGCTCTATGTGAGGGGAAGTTCAATTCTGTGACTTGAATGCAGACACCACAAAGAAGTTTCTGAGAATGCTGCTGTCTAATTTTTACATGTAAGCCCGTTTCCAACGAAATCCTCAAAGCTATCCAAATATCCGCATGCAGAATCTTCAAAAAGAGTGTTCCAGAAGTACTGCATGAAACGAAAGGTTCAAGTCCGTTTGTTGAGGACACACATCACAAATAAATTTCTCAGAATGCTTCTGTCTTGTTTTCATTGGAAGATATTTCCTTTTTCACCATAGTTCAGAAAGCGCTCCAAATGTCCACTTCCAGATACTCCAAAAAGAGTGTCTCCAACCTGCTCTATGAATGGGAATGTTCCACTCTGTGACTTGAATGGAAATATGGCAAAGTATTTTCTGAGTATGCTGCTGTGTACGTTTTATATTGCATCCCGTTTCCAACGAAATCCTCAAAGCGATCCAAATATCCACTTGCAGATTCCAAAAAAAGAGTGTTTCAAACTGCTCTGTCAGTACAAAGGTTCAACACTGTTAGTTGATTAGATGCATCATAAACAAGTTCCTGAGATAGCTTCTATGTCGTTTTTATGGGAATATATTTCCTTTTTCACCATAGGCCTGAAAGCGCTCCAAATGTCCACTTCCAGATACTACAATAAGAGTGTTTCCAACCTGCTCTATGAAACGGAAGGTTCAACTCTGTGACTTGATTGCAAACATCACGAAGGTGTTTCTGAGAATGCTTCTGTCTAGATTTTCTTTGAAGACATCCCCGTTTCCAACGAAATCCTCACAGCTATCCAAATATCCTCTTGCAGGTTCTACAAAAAGTGTGGTTCAAAACTGCTGTATCAAAAGAATGGATCAACACTGTTAGTTGAGTACCCACATCACAAACGTGATTCTCAGAATGCTTCTGTCTAGTTTCTGTAGGTAGATATTTCCTATTTTAAGCATAGGCCTGAAAGCGCTCCAAATGCCCGCTTCCAGACACTATAAAAAGAGGGTTTCAAACCTACTCTATGAAAGGGAATGTTCAACTCTGAGAGCTGGATGCAAACATCACAAAGAAGTTTCTGAGAATGCTGCTGTCTACTATTGATATATAATCCCGTTTCCAAGGAAATCCTCAAATCTATCCAAATATCCACTTGCAGATTCCAAAAGGAGAGTGTCTCAAAACTGCTCTATCAATAGAAATGTTCAGCACAGTTAGTTGAGTAGATACAGCATAAACATGTTTCTGAGATTACTTCTATCTCGCATTCATGGGAAGATATTTCCTTTTTCCAGATAGGCTACAAAGCCCTCCAAATGTCCACTTCGAGATACTACAAATAGAGTGCTGCACAGCTGCTCTATGTGAGGGGATGTTCAATTCTGTGACTTGGATGCAGACACCACAGAGAAGTTTCTGAGAATGCTCCTGTCTAATTTTTATATGTAAGCCCGTTTCCAACGAAATCCTCAAAGCTAACCAAATATCCGCATGCAGAATCTTCAAAAAGAGTGTTCCAGAAGTACTGCATGAAACGAAAGCTTCGAGTCCGTTAGTTGAGGACACGCATCACAAATAAGTTTCTCAGAATGCTTCTGTCTTGTTTTCATTGGAAGATATTTCCTTTTTCACCATAGTTCAGAAAGCGCTCCAAATGTCCACTTCCAGAGACTCCAAAAAGAGTGTTTCAAACCTGCTCTATGAATGGGAATGTTCCACTCTGTGACTTGAATGGAAATATGGCAAAGTATTTTCTGAGTATGCTGCTGTGTACGTTTTATATTGCATCCAGTTTCCAACGAAATCCTCAAAGCGATCCAAATATCCACTTGCAGATTCCAAAAAAAGAGTGTTTCAAACTGCTCTGTCAGTACAAAGGTTCAACACTGTTAGTTGATTAGATGCATCATAAACAAGTTCCTTAGATAGCTTCTATGTCGTTTTTATGGGAAGATATTTCCTTTTTCACCATAGGCCTGAAAGCGCTCCAAATGTCCACTTCCAGATACTACAATAAGAGTGTTTCCAACCTGCTCTATGAAACGGAAGGTTCAACTCTGTGACTTGATTGCAAACATCACGAAGGTGTTTCTGAGAATGTTTCTGTCTAGATTTTCTTTGAAGACATTCCCGTTTCCAACGAAATCCTCACAGCTATCCAAATATCCTCTTGCAGATTCTACAAAAAGTGTGGTTCAAAACTGCTGTATCTAAAGAATGGATCAACACTGTTAGTTGAGTACCCACATCACAAACGAGATTCTCAGAATGCTTCTGTCTAGTTTCTGTAGGTAGATATTTCCTATTTTAAGCATAGGCCTGAAAGCGCTCCAAATGCCCGCTTCCAGACACTATAAAAAGAGGGTTTCAAACCTACTCTATGAAAGGGAATGTTCAACTCTGAGAGCTGGATGCAAACATCACAAAGAAGTTTCTGAGAATGCTGCTGTCTACTTTTGATATATAATCCCGTTTCCAAGGAAATCCTCAAATCTATCCAAATATCCACTTGCAGATTCCAAAAGGAGAGTGTCTCAAAACTGCTCTATCAATAGAAATGTTCAGCACAGTTAGTTGAGTAGATACAGCATAAACATGTTTCTGAGATTACTTCTATCTCGCATTCATGGGAAGATATTTCCTTTTTCCAGATAGGCTACAAAGCCCTCCAAATGTCCACTTCGAGATACTACAAATAGAGTGCTGCACAACTGCTCTATGTGAGGGGATGTTCAATTCTGTGACTTGAATGCAGACACCACAAAGAAGTTTCTGAGAATGCTGCTGTCTAATTTTTATATGTAAGCCCGTTTCCAACGAAATCCTCAAAGCTAACCAAATATCCGCATGCAGAATCTTCAAAAAGAGTGTTCCAGAAGTACTGCATGAAACGAAAGGTTCGAGTCCGTTAGTTGAGGACACGCATCACAAATAAGTTTCTCAGAATGCTTCTGTCTTGTTTTCATTGGAAGATATTTCCTTTTTCACCATAGTTCTGAAAGCGCTCCAAATGTCCACTTCCAGACACTCCAAAAAAAGTGTTTCAAACCTGCTCTATGAATGGGAATGTTCCACTCTGTGACTTGGATGGAAATATGGCAAAGTATTTTCTGAGTATGCTGCTGTGTACGTTTTATATTGCATCCCGTTTCCAACGAAATCCTCAAAGCGATCCAAATATCCACTTGCAGATTCCAAAAAAAGAGTGTTTCAAACTGCTCTGTCAGTACAAAGGTTCAACACTGTTAGTTGATTAGATGCATCATAAACAAGTTCCTGAGATAGCTTCTATCTCGCATTCATGGGAAGATATTTCCTTTTTCCAGATAGGCTACAAAGCCCTCCAAATGTCCACTTCCAGATACTACAAAAAGTGTGTTTCCAACCTGCTCTATGAAACGGAAGGTTCAACTCTGTGACTTGATTGC
This sequence comes from Homo sapiens, assembly GCF_000001405.40. Lineage (NCBI taxonomy): Eukaryota > Metazoa > Chordata > Mammalia > Primates > Hominidae > Homo > Homo sapiens. The sequence continues at coordinate 45,534,283 of NC_000008.11, read as the reverse complement.
AAACATCACGAAGGTGTTTCTGAGAATGCTTCTGTCTAGATTTTCTTTGAAGACATTACCGTTTCCAACGAAATCCTCAAAGCTAGCCAAATATCCACCTGCAGATTCTACAAAAAGTGTGTTTCAAAAGTGCTCTCTCCAAACCAAGGTTCAATTCTGACAGTTGAGTGCACACATCACAAACGTGATTCTGCGAATGCTTCTGTCTAGTTTTTGTCGGAAGATATTTCCTTTTTCAGCATAGGCCCCAAGGAGCTCAAAATGTCCACTGCCAGATAGTACGAGAAGATTGTTTCAAACCTGCTCTGTGAAAGGGAATGTTCAACTCTGTGACTTGAATGTAAACATCCCTAAGATGTTTCTTAGAATGCTTCTGGCTAGATTTGATTTGAAGATATTCCCGTTTCCAACGAAATCCTCAAAGCTTTCCAAATATCCACTTCCAGATTCTATAAAAAGAATGTTTCAGAACAGTTCTGTCAAAAGAAAGGTTCAACTCTGTTAGTGGAGAACACACATCACAATCAAGGTTCTGAGAATGCTTCTGTCTAAATTTTCTATGAAGACATTCCCGTTTCCAACGAAATCCTCACAGCTATCCAAATATCCACTTGCAGATTCTACAAAAAGTGTGGTTCAAAACTTCTGTATCAAAAGAATGGATCAACACTGTTAGTTGAGTACCCACATCACAAACGTGATTCTCAGAATGCTTCTGTCTAGTTTCTATAGGTAGATATTTCCTTTTTCAGCATAGGCCTGAAAGCGCTCCAAATGCCCGCTTCCAGACACTATAAAAAGAGGGTTTCAAACCTACTCTATGAAAGGGAATGTTCAACTCTGAGAGCTGGATGCAAACATCACAAAGAAGTTTCTGAGAATGCTGCTGTCTACTTTTTATATATAATCCCGTTTCCAACGAAATCCTCAAATCTATCCAAATATCCACTTGCAGATTCCAAAAGAAGAGGGTCTCAAAACTGCTCTATCAATAGAAATGTTCAGCACAGTTAGTTGAGTAGATACAGCATAAACATGTTTCTGAGATTACTTCTATCTCGCATTCATGGGAAGATATTTCCTTTTTCCAGATAGGCTACAAAGCCCTCCAAATGTCCACTTCCAGATACTACAAATAGAGTGCTGCACAACTGCTCTATGTGAGGGGAAGTTCAATTCTGTGACTTGAATGCAGACACCACAAAGAAGTTTCTGAGAATGCTGCTGTCTAATTTTTACATGTAAGCCCGTTTCCAACGAAATCCTCAAAGCTATCCAAATATCCGCATGCAGAATCTTCAAAAAGAGTGTTCCAGAAGTACTGCATGAAACGAAAGGTTCAAGTCCGTTTGTTGAGGACACACATCACAAATAAGTTTCTCAGAATGCTTCTGTCTTGTTTTCATTGGAAGATATTTCCTTTTTCACCATAGTTCAGAAAGCGCTCCAAATGTCCACTTCCAGATACTCCAAAAAGAGTGTTTCAAACCTGCTCTATGAATGGGAATGTTCCACTCTCTGACTTGAATGGAAATATGGCAAAGTATTTCCTGAGTATGCTGCTGTGTACGTTTTATATTGCATCCCGTTTCCAACGAAATCCTCAAAGCGATCCAAATATCCACTTGCAGATTCCAAAAAAAGAGTGTTTCAAACTGCTCTGTCAGTACAAAGGTTCAACACTGTTAGTTGATTAGATGCATCATAAACAAGTTCCTGAGATAGCTTCTATGTTGTTTTTATGGGAAGATATTTCCTTTTTCACCATAGGCCTGAAAGCGCTCCAAATGTCCACTTCCAGATACTACAATAAGAGTGTTTCCAACCTGCTCTATGAAACGGAAGGTTCAACTCTGTGACTTGATTGCAAACATCACGAAGGTGTTTCTGAGAATGTTTCTGTCTAGATTTTCTTTGAAGACATTCCCGTTTCCAACGAAATCCTCACAGCTATCCAAATATCCTCTTGCAGATTCTACAAAAAGTGTGGTTCAAAACTGCTGTATCAAACGAATGGATCAACACTGTTAGTTGAGTACCCACATCACAAACGAGATTCTCAGAATGCTTCTGTCTAGTTTCTGTAGGTAGATATTTCCTATTTTAAGCATAGGCCTGAAAGCGCTCCAAATGCCCGCTTCCAGACACTATAAAAAGAGGGTTTCAAACCTACTCTATGAAAGGGAATGTTCAACTCTGAGAGCTGGATGCAAACATCACAAAGAAGTTTCTGAGAATGCTGCTGTCTACTTTTGATATATAATCCCGTTTCCAACGAAATCCTCAAATCTATCCAAATATCCACTTGCAGATTCCAAAAGAAGAGTGTCTGAAAACTGCTCTATCAATAGAAATGTTCAGCACAGTTAGTTGAGTAGATACAGCATAAACATGTTTCTGAGATTACTTCTATCTCGCATTCATGGGAAGATATTTCCTTTTTCCAGATAGGCTACAAAGCCCTCCAAATGTCCACTTCCAGATACTACAAATAGAGTGCTGCACAACTGCTCTATGTGAGGGGAAGTTCAATTCTGTGACTTGAATGCAGACACCACAAAGAAGTTTCTGAGAATGCTGCTGTCTAATTTTTACATGTAAGGCCGTTTCCAACGAAATCCTCAAAGCTATCCAAATATCCGCATGCAGAATCTTCAAAAAGAGTGTTCCAGAAGTACTGCATGAAACGAAAGGTTCAAGTCCGTTTGTTGAGGACACACATCACAAATAAGTTTCTCAGAATGCTTCTGTCTTGTTTTCATTGGAAGATATTTCCTTTTTCACCATAGTTCAGAAAGCGCTCCAAATGTCCACTTCCAGATACTCCAAAAAGAGTGTTTCCAACCTGCTCTATGAATGGGAATGTTCCACTCTGTGACTTGAATGGAAATATGGCAAAGTATTTTCTGAGTATGCTGCTGTGTACGTTTTATATTGCATCCCGTTTCCAACGAAATCCTCAAAGCGATCCAAATATCCACTTGCAGATTCCAAAAAAAGAGTGTTTCAAAGTGCTCTGTCAGTACAAAGGTTCAACACTGTTAGTTGATTAGATGCATCATAAACAAGTTCCTGAGACAGCTTCTATGTCGTTTTTATGGGAAGATATTTCCTTTTTCACCATAGGCCTGAAAGCGCTCCAAATGTCCACTTCCAGATACTACAATAAGAGTGTTTCCAACCTGCTCTATGAAACGGAAGGTTCAACTCTGTGACTTGATTGCAAACATCACGAAGGTGTTTCTGAGAATGCTTCTGTCTAGATTTTCTTTGAAGACATTACCGTTTCCAACGAAATCCTCAAAGCTAGCCAAATATCCACCTGCAGATCCTACAAAAAGAGTGTTTCAAAAGTGCTCTGTCCAAACAAAGGTTCAATTCTGACAGTTGAGTGCACACATCACAAACGTGATTCTGCGAATGCTTCTGTCTAGTTTTTGTCGGAAGATATTTCCTTTTTCAGCATAGGCCCCAAGGAGCTCAAAATGTCCACTGCCAGATAGTACGAGAAGATTGTTTCAAACCTGCTCTGAGAAAGGGGAATGTTCAACTCTGTGACTTGAATGTAAACATCCCTAAGATGTTTCTTAGAATGCTTCTGGCTAGATTTTATTTGAAGATATTCCCGTTTCCAACGAAATCCTCAAAGCTTTCCAAATATCCACTTCCAGATTCTATAAAAAGAATGTTTCAAAACAGTTCTGTCCAAAGAAAGGTTCAACTCTGTTAGTGGAGAACACACATCACAATCCAGGTTCTGAGAATGCTTCTGTCTAAATTTTCTATGAAGACATTCCCGTTTCCAACGAAATCCTCACAGCTATCCAAATATCCACTTGCAGATTCTACAAAAAGGGTGGTTCAAAACTGCTGTATCAAAAGAATGGATCAACACTGTTAGTTGAGTACCCACATCACAAACGTGATTCTCAGAATGCTTCTGTCTAGTTTCTGTAGGTAGATATTTCCTTTTTCAGCATAGGCCTGAAAGCGTTCCTAATGCCCGCTTCCAGACACTATAAAAAGGGGGTTTCAAACCTACTCTATGAAAGGGAATGTTCAACTCTGAGAGCTGGATGCAAACATCACAAAGAAGTTTTGAGAATGCTGCTGTCTACTTTTTATATATAATCCCGTTTCCAACGAAATCCTCAAATCTATCCAAATATCCACTTGCAGATTCCAAAAGAAGAGTGTCTCAAAACTGCTCTATCAATAGAAATGTTCAGCACAGTTAGTTGAGTAGATACAGGCATAAACATGTTTCTGAGATTACTTCTATCTCGCATTCATGGGAAGATATTTCCTTTTTCCAGATAGGCTACAAAGCCCTCCAAATGTCCACTTCCAGATACTACAAATAGAGTGCTGCACAACTGCTCTATGTGAGGGGAAGTTCAATTCTGTGACTTGAATGCAGACACCACAAAGAAGTTTCTGAGAATGCTGCTGTCTAATTTTTACATGTAAGCCCGTTTCCAACGAAATCCTCAAAGCTATCCAAATATCCGCATGCAGAATCTTCAAAAAGAGTGTTCCAGAAGTACTGCATGAAACGAAAGGTTCAAGTCCGTTTGTTGAGGACACACATCACAAATAAGTTTCTCAGAATGCTTCTGCTTGTTTTCATTGGAAGATATTTCCTTTTTCACCATAGTTCAGAAAGCGCTCCAAATGTCCACTTCCAGATACTCCAAAAAGAGTGTTTCAAACCTGCTCTATGAATGGGAATGTTCCACTCTGTGACTTGAATGGAAATATGGCAAAGTATTTTCTGAGTATGCTGCTGTGTACGTTTTATATTGCATCCCGTTTCCAACGAAATCCTCAAAGCGATCCAAATATCCACTTGCAGATTCCAAAAAAAGAGTGTTTCAAACTGCTCTGTCAGTACAAAGGTTCAACACTGTTAGTTGATTAGATGCATCATAAACAAGTTCCTGATATAGATTCTATCTCGCATTCATGGGAAGATATTTCCTTTTTCCAGATAGGCTACAAAGCCCTCCAAATGTCCACTTCCAGATACTACAAAAAGTGTGTTTCCAACCTGCTCTATGAAACGGAAGGTTCAACTCTGTGACTTGATTGCAAACATCACGAAGGTGTTTCTGAGAATGCTTCTGTCTAGATTTTCTTTGAAGACATTACCGTTTCCAACGAAATCCTCAAAGCTAGCCAAATATCCACCTGCAGATTCTACAAAAAGAGTGTTTCAAAAGTGCTCTGTCCAAACCAAGGTTCAATTCTGACAGTTGAGTGCACACATCACAAACGTGATTCTGCGAATGCTTCTGTCTAGTTTTTGTCGGAAGATATTTCCTTTTTCAGCATAGGCCCCAAGGAGCTCAAAATGTCCACTGCCAGATAGTACGAGAAGATTGTTTCAAACCTGCTCTGTGAAAGGGAATGTTCAACTCTGTGACTTGAATGTAAACATCCCTAAGATGTTTCTTAGAATGCTTCTGGCTAGATTTTATTTGAAGATATTCCCATTTCCAACGAAATCCTCAAAACTTTCCAAATATCCACTTCCAGATTCTATAAAAAGAATGTTTCAAATCAGTTCTGTCCAAAGAAAGGTTCAACTCTGTTAGTGGAGAACTCACATCACAATCCAGGTTCTGAGAATGCTTCTGTCTAAATTTTCTATGAAGACATTCCCGTTTCCAACGAAATCCTCACAGCTATCCAAATATCCACTTGCAGATTCTACAAAAAGGGTGGTTCAAAACTGCTGTATCAAAAGAATGGATCAACACTGTTAGTTGAGTACCCACATCACAAACGTGATTCTCAGAATGCTTCTGTCTAGTTTCTGTAGGTAGATAATTCCTTTTTCAGCATAGGCCTGAAAGCGCTCCAAATGCCCGCTTCCAGACAGTATAAAAAGGGGGTTTCAAACCTACTCTATGAAAGGGAATGTTCAACTCTGAGAGCTGGATGCAAACATCACAAAGAAGTTTCTGAGAATGCTGCTGTCTACTTTTTATATATAATCCCGTTTCCAACGAAATCCTCAAATCTATCCAAATATCCACTTGCAGATTCCAAAAGAAGAGTGTCTCAAAACTGCTCTATCAATAGAAATGTTCAGCACAGTTAGTTGAGTAGATACAGCATAAACATGTTTCTGAGATTACTTCTATCTGGCTTTCATGGGAAGATATTTCCTTTTTCCAGATAGGCTACAAAGCCCTCCAAATGTCCACTTCGAGATACTACAAATAGAGTGCTGCACAACTGCTCTATGTGAGGGGATGTTCAATTCTGTGACTTGAATGCAGACACCACAAAGAAGTTTCTGAGAATGCTGCTGTCTAATTTTTATATGTAAGCCCGTTTCCAACGAAATCCTCAAAGCTAACCAAATATCCGCATGCAGAATCTTCAAAAAGAGTGTTCCAGAAGTACTGCATGAAACGAAAGGTTCGAGTCCGTAAGTTGAGGACACGCATCACAAATAAGTTTCTCAGAATGCTTCTGTCTTGTTTTCATTGGAAGATATTTCCTTTTTCACCATAGTTCTGAAAGCGCTCCAAATGTCCACTTCCAGACACTCCAAAAAAAGTGTTTCAAACCTGCTCTATGAATGGGAATGTTCCACTCTGTGACTTGAATGGAAATATGGCAAAGTATTTTCTGAGTATGCTGCTGTGTACGTTTTATATTGCATCCCGTTTCCAACGAAATCCTCAAAGCGATCCAAATATCCACTTGCAGATTCCAAAAAAAGAGTGTTTCAAACTGCTCTGTCAGTACAAAGGTTCAACACTGTTAGTTGATTAGATGCATCATAAACAAGTTCCTGAGATAGCTTCTATGTCGTTTTTATGGGAAGATATTTCCTTTTTCACCATAGGCCTGAAAGCGCTCCAAATGTCCACTTCCAGATACTACAATAAGAGTGTTTCCAACCTGCTCTATGAAACGGAAGGTTCAACTCTGTGACTTGATTGCAAACATCACGAAGGTGTTTCTGAGAATGCTTCTGTCTAGATATTCTTTGAAGACATTCCCGTTTCCAACGAAATCCTCACTGCTATCCAAATATCCTCTTGCAGATTCTACAAAAAGTGTGGTTCAAAACTGCTGTATCAAAAGAATGGATCAACACTGTTAGTTGAGTACCCACATCACAAACGTGATTCTCAGAATGCTTCTGTCTAGTTTCTGTAGGTAGATATTTCCTATTTTAAGCATAGGCCTGAAAGCGCTCCAAATGCCCGCTTCCAGACACTATAAAAAGAGGGTTTCAAACCTACTCTATGAAAGGGAATGCTCAACTCTGAGAGCTGGATGCAAACATCACAAAGAAGTTTCTGAGAATGCTGCTGTCTACTTTTTATATATAATCCCGTTTCCAACGAAATCCTCAAATCTATCCAAATATCCACTTGCAGATTCCAAAAGAAGAGTGTCTCAAAACTGCTCTATCAATAGACATGTTCAGCACAGTTAGTTGAGTAGATACAGCATAAACATGTTTCTGAGATTACTTCTATCTCGCATTCATGGGAAGATATTTCCTTTTTCCAGATAGGCTACAAAGCCCTCCAAATGTCCACTTCCAGATACTACAAAAAGAGTGTTTCCAACCTGCTCTATGAAACGGAAGGTTCAACTCTGTGACTTGATTGCAAACATCACGAAGGTGTTTCTGAGAATGCTTCTGTCTAGATTTTCTTTGAAGACATTACCGTTTCCAACGAAATCCTCAAAGCTAGCCAAATATCCACCTGCAGATTCTACAAAAAGAGTGTTTCAAAAGTGCTCTGTCCAAACCAAGGTTCAATTCTGACAGTTGAGTGCACACATCACAAACGTGATTCTGCGAATGCTTCTGTCTAGTTTTTGTCGGAAGATATTTCCTTTTTCAGCATAGGCCCCAAGGAGCTCAAAATGTCCACTGCCAGATAGTACGAGAAGATTGTTTCAAACCTGCTCTGAGAAAGGGGAATGTTCAACTCTGTGACTTGAATGTAAACATCCCTAAGATGTTTCTTAGAATGCTTCTGGCTAGATTTGATTTGAAGATATTCCCGTTTCCAACGAAATCCTCAAAGCTTTCCAAATATCCACTTCCAGATTCTATAAAAAGAATGTTTCAAAACAGTTCTGTCCAAAGAAAGGTTCAACCCTGTTAGTTGAGAACACACATCACAATCAAGGTTCTGAGAATGCTTCTGTCTAAATTTTCTATGAAGACATTCCCGTTTCCAACGAAATCCTCACAGCTATCCAAATATCCACTTGCAGATTCTACAAAAAGGGTGGTTCAAAACTGCTGTATCAAAAGAATGGATCAACACTGTTAGTTGAGTACCCACATCACAAACGTGATTCTCAGAATGCTTCTGTCTAGTTTCTGTAGGTAGATATTTCCTTTTTCAGCATAGGCCTGAAAGCGCTCCAAATGCCCGCTTCCAGACACTATAAAAAGGGGGTTTCAAACCTACTATATGAAAGGGAATGTTCAACTCTGAGAGCTGGATGCAAACATCACAAAGAAGTTCTGAGAATGCTGCTGTCTACTTTTTATATATAATCCCGTTTCCAACGAAATCCTCAAATCTATCCAAATATCCACTTGCAGATTCCAAAAGAAGAGTGTCTCAAAACTGCTCTATCAATAGAAATGTTCAGCACAGTTAGTTGAGTAGATACAGCATAAACATGTTTCTGAGATTACTTCTATCTCGCATTCATGGGAAGATATTTCCTTTTTCCAGATAGGCTACAAAGCCCTCCAAATGTCCACTTCCAGATACTACAAATAGAGTGCTGCACAACTGCTCTATGTGAGGGGAAGTTCAATTCTGTGACTTGAATGCAGACACCACAAAGAAGTTTCTGAGAATGCTGCTGTCTAATTTTTACATGTAAACCCGTTTCCAACGAAATCCTCAAAGCTATCCAAATATCCGCATGCAATATCTTCAAAAAGAGTGTTCCAGAAGTACTGCATGAAACGAAAGGTTCAAGTCCGTTTGTTGAGGACACACATCACAAATAAGTTTCTCAGAATGCTTCTGTCTTGTTTTCATTGGAAGATATTTCCTTTTTCACCATAGTTCAGAAAGCGCTCCAAATGTCCACTTCCAGATACTCCAAAAAGAGTGTTTCAAACCTGCTCTATGAATGGGAATGTTCCACTCTGTGACTTGAATGGAAATATGGCAAAGTATTTTCTGAGTATGCTGCTGTGTACGTTTTATATTGCATCCCGTTTCCAACGAAATCCTCAAAGCGATCCAAATATCCACTTGCAGATTCCAAAAAAAGAGTGTTTCAAACTGCTCTGTCAGTACAAAGGTTCAACACTGTTAGTTGATTAGATGCATCATAAACAAGTTCCTGAGATAGCTTCTATCTCGCATTCATGGGAAGATATTTCCTTTTTCCAGATAGGCTACAAAGCCCTCCAAATGTCCACTTCCAGATACTACAAAAAGTGTGTTTCCAACCTGCTCTATGAAACGGAAGGTTCAACTCTGTGACTTGATTGCAAACATCACGAAGGTGTTTCTGAGAATGCTTCTGTCTAGATTTTCTTTGAAGACATTACCGTTTCCAACGAAATCCTCAAAGCTAGCCAAATATCCACCTGCAGATTCTACAAAAAGTCTGTTTCAAAAGTGCTCTCTCCAAACCAAGGTTCAATTCTGACAGTTGAGTGCACACATCACAAACGTGATTCTGCGAATGCTTCTGTCTAGTTTTTGTCGGAAGATATTTCCTTTTTCAGCATAGGCCCCAAAGAGCTCAAAATGTCCACTGCCAGATAGTACGAGAAGATTGTTTCAAACCTGCTCTGTGAAAGGGAATGTTCAACTCTGTGACTTGAATGTAAACATCCCTAAGATGTTTCTTAGAATGCTTCTGGCTAGATTTTATTTGAAGATATTCCCGTTTCCAACGAAATCCTCAAAGCTTTCCAAATATCCACTTCCAGATTCTATAAAAAGAATGTTTCAGAACAGTTCTGTCAAAAGAAAGGTTCAACTCTGTTAGTGGAGAACACACATCACAATCAAGGTTCTGAGAATGCTTCTGTCTAAATTTTCTATGAAGACATTCCCGTTTCCAACGAAATCCTCACAGCTATCCAAATATCCACTTGCAGATTCTACAAAAAGTGTGGTTCAAAACTGCTGTATCAAAAGAATGGATCAACACTGTTAGTTGAGTACCCACATCACAAACGTGATTCTCAGAATGCTTCTGTCTAGTTTCTATAGGTAGATATTTCCTTTTTCAGCATAGGCCTGAAAGCGCTCCAAATGCCCGCTTCCAGACACTATAAAAAGAGGGTTTCAAACCTACTCTATGAAAGGGAATGTTCAACTCTGAGAGCTGGATGCAAACATCACAAAGAAGTTTCTGAGAATGCTGCTGTCTACTTTTGATATATAATCCCGTTTCCAACGAAATCCTCAAATCTATCCAAATATCCACTTGCAGATTCCAAAAGAAGAGTGTCTCAAAACTGCTCTATCAATAGAAATGTTCAGCACAGTTAGTTGAGTAGATACAGCATAAACATGTTTCTGAGATTACTTCTATCTCGCATTCATGGGAAGATATTTCCTTTTTCCAGATAGGCTACAAAGCCCTCCAAATGTCCACATCGAGATACTACAAATAGAGTGCTGCACAACTGCCCAATGTGAGGGGATGTTCAATTCTGTGACTTGAATGCAGACACCACAAAGAAGTTTCTGAGAATGCTGCTGTCTAATTTTTATATGTAAGCCCGTTTCCAACGAAATCCTCAAAGCTATCCAAATATCCGCATGCAGAATCTTCAAAAAGAGTGTTCCAGAAGTACTGCATGAAACGAAAGGTTCGAGTCCGTTAGTTGAGGACATGCATCACAAATAAGTTTCTCAGAATGCTTCTGTCTTGTTTTCATTGGAAGATATTTCCTTTTTCACCATAGTTCAGAAAGCGCTCCAAATGTCCACTTCCAGATACTCCAAAAAGAGTGTTTCCAACCTGCTCTATGAATGGGAATGTTCCACTCTGTGACTTGAATGGAAATATGGCAAAGTATTTTCTGAGTATGCTGCTGTGTACGTTTTATATTGCATCCCGTTTCCAACGAAATCCTCAAAGCGATCCAAATATCCACTTGCAGATTCCAAAAAAAGAGTGTTTCAAACTGCTCTGTCAGTACAAAGGTTCAACACTGTTAGTTGATTAGATGCATCATAAAAAAGTTCCTGAGATAGCTTCTATGTCGTTTTTATGGGAAGATATTTCCTTTTTCACCATAGGCCTGAAAGCGCTCCAAATGTCCACTTCCAGATACTACAATAAGAGTGTTTCCAACCTGCTCTATGAAACGGAAGGTTCAACTCTGTGACTTGATTGCAAACATCACGAAGGTGTTTCTGAGAATGCTTCTGTCTAGATTTTCTTTGAAGACATTCCCGTTTCCAACGAAATCCTCACAGCTATCCAAATATCCTCTTGCAGATTCTACAAAAAGTGTGGTTCAAAACTGCTGTATCAAAAGAATGGATCAACACTGTTAGTTGAGTACCAACATCACAAACGTGATTCTCAGAATGCTTCTGTCTAGTTTCTGTAGGTAGATATTTCCTATTTTAAGCATAGGCCTGAAAGCGCTCCAAATGCCCTCTTCCAGACACTATAAAAAGAGGGTTTCAAACCTACTCTATGAAAGGGAATGTTCAACTCTGAGAGCTGGATGCAAACATCACAAAGAAGTTTCTGAGAATGCTGCTGTCTACTTTTTATATATAATCCCGTTTCCAACGAAATCCTCAAATCTATCCAAATATCCACTTGCAGATTCCAAAAGAAGAGTGTCTCAAAACTGCTCTATCAATAGAAATGTTCAGCACAGTTAGTTGAGTAGATACAGCATAAACATGTTTCTGAGATTACTTCTATCTCGCATTCATGGGAAGATATTTCCTTTTTCCAGATAGGCTACAAAGCCCTCCAAATGTCCACTTCCAGATACTACAAAGAGTGTTTCCAACCTGCTCTATGAAACGGAAGGTTCAACTCTGTGACTTGATTGCAAACATCACGAAGGTGTTTCTGAGAATGCTTCTGTCTAGATTTTCTTTGAAGACATTACCGTTTCCAACGAAATCCTCAAAGCTAGCCAAATATCCACCTGCAGATTCTACAAAAAGAGTGTTTCAAAAGTGCTCTGTCCAAACCAAGGTTCAATTCTGACAGTTGAGTGCACACATCACAAACGTGATTCTGCGAATGCTTCTGTCTAGTTTTTGTCGGAAGATATTTCCTTTTTCAGCATAGGCCACAAGGAACACAAAATGTCCACTTCCAGATAGTACGAGAAGATTGTTTCAAACCTGCTCTGTGAAAGGGAATTTTCAACTCTGTGACTTGAATGTAAACATCCCTAAGATGTTTCTTAGAATGCTTCTGGCTAGATTTGATTTGAAGATATTCCCGTTTCCAACGAAATCCTCAAAGCTTTCCAAATATCCACTTCCAGATTCTATAAAAAGAATGTTTCAGAACAGTTCTGTCAAAAGAAAGGTTCAACTCTGTTAGTGGAGAACACACATCACAATCAATGTTCTGAGAATGCTTCTGTCTAAATTTTCTATGAAGGCATTCCCGTTTCCAAGAAAATCCTCACAGCTATCCAAATATCCACTTGCAGATTCTACAAAAAGTGTGGTTCAAAACTGCTGTATCAAAAGAATGGATCAACACTGTTAGTTGAGTACCCACATCACAAACGTGATTCTCAGAATGCTTCTGTCTAGTTTCTATAGGTAGATATTTCCTTTTTCAGCATAGGCCTGAAAGCGCTCCAAATGCCCGCTTCCAGACACTATAAAAAGAGGGTTTCAAACCTACTCTATGAAAGGGAATGTTCAACTCTGAGAGCTGGATGCAAACATCACAAAGAAGTTTCTGAGAATGCTGCTGTCTACTTTTTATATATAATCCCGTTTCCAACGAAATCCTCAAATCTATCCAAATATCCACTTGCAGATTCCAAAAGAAGAGTGTCTCAAAACTGCTCTATCAATAGAAATGTTCAGCACAGTTAGTTGAGTAGATACGGCATAAACATGTTTCTGAGATTACTTCTATCTCGCATTCATGGGAAGATATTTCCTTTTTCCAGATAGGCTACAAAGCCCTCCAAATGTCCACTTCCAGATACTACAAATAGAGTGCTGCACAACTGCTCTATGTGAGGGGAAGTTCAATTCTGTGACTTGAATGCAGACACCACAAAGAAGTTTCTGAGAATGCTGCTGTCTAATTTTTACATGTAAACCCGTTTCCAACGAAATCCTCAAAGCTATCCAAATATCCGCATGCAATATCTTCAAAAAGAGTGTTCCAGAAGTACTGCATGAAACGAAAGGTTCAAGTCCGTTTGTTGAGGACACACATCACAAATAAGTTTCTCAGAATGCTTCTGTCTTGTTTTCATTGGAAGATATTTCCTTTTTCACCATAGTTCAGATAGCGCTCCAAATGTCCACTTCCAGACACTCCAAAAAGAGTGTTTCAAACCTGCTCTATGAATGGGAATGTTCCACTCTGTGACTTGAATGGAAATATGGCAAAGTATTTTCTGAGTATGCTGCTGTGTACGTTTTATATTGCATCCCGTTTCCAACGAAATCCTCAAAGCGATCCAAATATCCACTTGCAGATTCCAAAAAAAGAGTGTTTCAAACTGCTCTGTCAGTACAAAGGTTCAACACTGTTAGTTGATTAGATGCATCACAAACAAGTTCCTGAGATAGCTTCTATGTCGTTTTTATGGGAAGATATTTCCTTTTTCACCATAGGCCTGAAAGCGCTCCAAATGTCCACTTCCAGATACTACAATAAGAGTGTTTCCAACCTGCTCTATGAAACGGAAGGTTCAACTCTGTGACTTGATTGCAAACATCACGAAGGTGTTTCTGAGAATGCTTCTGTCTAGATTTTCTTTGAAGACATTACCGTTTCCAACGAAATCCTCAAAGCTAGTCAAATATCCACCTGCAGATTCTACAAAAAGAGTGTTTCAAAAGTGCTGTGTCCAAACAAAGGTTCAATTCTGACAGTTGAGTGCACACATCACAAACGTGATTCTGCGAATGCTTCTGTCTAGTTTTTGTCGGAAGATATTTCCTTTTTCAGCATAGGCCCCAAGGAGCTCAAAATGTCCACTGCCAGATAGTACGAGAAGATTGTTTCAAACCTGCTCTGTGAAAGGGAATGTTCAACTCTGTGACTTGAATGTAAACATCCCTAAGATGTTTCTTAGAATGCTTCTGGCTAGATTTTATTTGAAGATATTCCCGTTTCCAACGAAATCCTCAAAGCTTTCCAAATATCCACTTCCAGATTCTATAAAAAGAATGTTTCAGAACAGTTCTGTCAAAAGAAAGGTTCAACTCTGTTAGTGGAGAACACACATCACAATCAAGGTTCTGAGAATGCTTCTGTCTAAATTTTCTATGAAGACATTCCCGTTTCCAACGAAATCCTCACAGCTATCCAAATATCCACTTGCAGGTTCTACAAAAAGTGTGGTTCAAAACTGCTGTATCAAAAGAATGGATCAACACTGTTAGTTGAGTACCCACATCACAAACGTGATTCTCAGAATGCTTCTGTCTAGTTTCTGTAGGTAGATATTTCCTTTTTCAGCATAGGCCTGAAAGCGCTCCAAATGCCCGCTTCCAGACACTATAAAAAGAGGGTTTCAAACCTACTCTATGAAAGGGAATGTTCAACTCTGAGAGCTGGATGCAAACATCACAAAGAAGTTTCTGAGAATGCTGCTGTCTACTTTTGATATATAATCCCGTTTCCAACGAAATCCTCAAATCTATCCAAATATCCACTTGCAGATTCCAAAAGAAGAGTGTCTCAAAACTGCTCTATCAATAGAGATGTTCAGCACAGTTAGTTGAGTAGATACAGCATAAACATGTTTCTGAGATTACTTCTATCTCGCATTCATGGAAAGATATTTCCTTTTTCCAGATAGGCTACAAAGCCCTCCAAATGTACATTTCGAGATACTACAAATAGAGTGCTGCACAACTGCTCTATGTGAGGGGATGTTCAATTCTGTGACTTGAACGCAGACACCACAAAGAAGTTTCTGAGAATGCTGCTGTCTAATTTTTACATGTAAGCCCGTTTCCAACGAAATCCTCAAAGCTATCCAAAGATCCGCATGCAGAATCTTCAAAAAGAGTGTTCCAGAAGTACTGCATGAAACGAAAGGTTCAAGTCCGTTAGTTGAGGACACACATCACAAATAAGTTTCTCAGAATGCTTCTGTCTTGTTTTCATTGGAAGATATTTCCTTTTTCACCATAGTTCAGAAAGCCCTCCAAATGTCCACTTCCACATACTACAAAAAGAGTGTTTCCAACCTGCTCTATGAATGGGAATGTTCCACTCTGTGACTTGAATGGAAATATGGCAACGTATTTTCTGAGTATGCTGCTGTGTACGTTTTATATTGCATCCCGTTTCCAACGAAATCCTCAAAGCGATCCAAATATCCACTTGCAGATTCCAAAAAAAAGAGTGTTTCACACTGCTCTGTCAGTACAAAGGTTCAACACTGTTAGTTGATTGGATGCATCATAAACAAGTTCCTGAGATAGCTTCTATCTCGCATTCATGGGAAGATATTTCCTTTTTCCAGATAGGCTACAAAGCCCTCCAAATGTCCACTTCCAGATACTACAAAAAGTGTGTTTCCAACCTGCTCTATGAAACGGAAGGTTCAACTCTGTGACTTGATTGCAAACATCACGAAGGTGTTTCTGAGAATGCTTCTGTCTAGATTTTCTTTGAAGACATTACCGTTTCCAACGAAATCCTCAAAGCTAGCCAAATATCCACCTGCAGATTCTACAAAAAGAGTGTTTCAAAAGTGCTCTGTCCAAACCAAGGTTCAATTCTGACAGTTGAGTGCACACATCACAAACGTGATTCTGCGAATGCTTCTGTCTAGTTTTTGTCGGAAGATATTTCCTTTTTCAGCATAGGCCCCAAAGAGCTCAAAATGTCCACTGCCAGATAGTACGAGAAGATTGTTTCAAACCTGCTCTGTGAAAGGGAATGTTCAACTCTGTGACTTGAATGTAAACATCCCTAAGATGTTTCTTAGAATGCTTCTGGCTAGATTTGATTTGAAGATATTCCCGTTTCCAACGAAATCCTCAAAGCTTTCCAAATATCCACTTCCAGATTCTATAACAAGAATGTTTCAGAACAGTTCTGTCAAAAGAAAGGTTCAACTCTGTTAGTGGAGAACACACATCACAATCAAGGTTCTGAGAATGCTTCCGTCTAAATTTTCTATGAAGACATTCCCGTTTCCAACGAAATCCTCACAGCTATCCAAATATCCACTTGCAGATTCTACAAAAAGTGTGGTTCAAAACTGCTGTATCAAAAGAATGGATCAACACTGTTAGTTGAGTACCCACATCACAAACGTGATTCTCAGAATGCTTCTGTCTAGTTTCTATAGGTAGATATTTCCTTTTTCAGCATAGGCCTGAAAGCGCTCCAAATGCCCGCTTCCAGACACTATAAAAAGAGGGTTTCAAACCTACTCTATGAAAGGGAATGTTCAACTCTGAGAGCTGGATGCAAACATCACAAAGAAGTTTCTGAGAATGCTGCTGTCTACTTTTTATATATAATCCCGTTTCCAACGAAATCCTCAAATCTATCCAAATATCCACTTGCAGATTCCAAAAGAAGAGTGTCTCAAAACTGCTCTATCAATAGAAATGTTCAGCACAGTTAGTTGAGTAGATACAGCATAAACATGTTTCTCAGATTACTTCTATCTCGCATTCATGGGAAGATATTTCCTTTTTCCAGATAGGCTACAAAGCCCTCCAAATGTCCACTTCCAGATACTACAAAAAGAGTGTTTCCAACCTGCTCTATGAAACGGAAGGTTCAACTCTGTGACTTGATTGCAAACATCACGAAGGTGTTTCTGAGAATGCTTCTGTCTAGATTTTCTTTGAAGACATTACCGTTTCCAACGAAATCCTCAAAGCTAGCCAAATATCCACCTGCAGATTCTACAAAAAGAGTGTTTCAAAAGTGCTCTGTCCAAACCAAGGTTCAATTCTGACAGTTGAGTGCACACATCACAAACGTGATTCTGCGAATGCTTCTGTCTAGTTTTTGTCAGAAGATATTTCCTTTTTCAGCATAGGCCCCAAGGCAGCTCAAAATGTCCACTGCCAGATAGTACGAGAAGATTGTTTCAAACCTGCTCTGTGAAAGGGAATGTTCAACTCTGTGACTTGAATGTAAACATCCCTAAGATGTTTCTTAGAATGCTTCTGGCTAGATTTTATTTGAAGATATTCCCGTTTCCAACGAAATCCGCAAAGCTTTCCAAATATCCACTTCCAGATTCTATAAAAAGAATGTTTCAGAACAGTTCTGTCAAAAGAAAGGTTCAACTCTGTTAGTGGAGAACACACATCACAATCAAGGTTCTGAGAATGCTTCTGTCTAAATTTTCTATGAAGACATTCCCGTTTCCAACGAAATCCTCACAGCTATCCAAATATCCACTTGCAGATTCTACAAAAAGTGTGGTTCAAAACTGCTGTATCAAAAGAATGGATCAACACTGTTAGTTGAGTACCCACATCACAAACGTGATTCTCAGAATGCTTCTGTCTAGTTTCTATAGGTAGATATTTCCTTTTTCAGCATAGGCCTGAAAGCGCTCCAAATGCCCGCTTCCAGACACTATAAAAAGAGGGTTTCAAACCTACTCTATGAAAGGGAATGTTCAACTCTGAGAGCTGGATGCAAACATCACAAAGAAGTTTCTGAGAATGCTGCTGTCTACTTTTTATATATAATCCCGTTTCCAACGAAATCCTCAAATCTATCCAAATATCCACTTGCAGATTCCAAAAGAAGAGTGTCTCAAAACTGCTCTATCAATAGAAATGTTCAGCACAGTTAGTTGAGTAGATACAGCATAAACATGTTTCTGAGATTACTTCTATCTCGCATTCATGGGAAGATATTTCCTTTTTCCAGATAGGCTACAAAGCCCTCCAAATGTCCCCTTCCAGATACTACAAATAGAGTGCTGCACAACTGCTCTATGTGAGGGGAAGTTCAATTCTGTGACTTGAATGCAGACACCACAAAGAAGTTTCTGAGAATGCTGCTGTCTAATTTTTACATGTAAGCCCGTTTCCAACGAAATCCTCAAAGCTATCCAAATATCCGCATGCAGAATCTTCAAAAAGAGTGTTCCAGAAGTACTGCATGAAACGAAAGGTTCAAGTCCGTTTGTTGAGGACACACATCACAAATAAGTTTCTCAGAATGCTTCTGTCTTGTTTTCATTGGAAGATATTTCCTTTTTCATCATAGTTCAGAAAGCGCTCCAAATGACCACTTCCAGATACTAGAAAAGGAGTGTTTCCAACCTGCTCCATGAATGGGAATGTTCCACTCTGTGACTTGAATGGAAATATGGCAAAGTATTTTCTGAGTATGCTGCTGTTTACGTTTTATATTGCATCCCGTTTCCAACGAAATCCTCAAAGCGATCCAAATATCCACTTGCAGATTCCAAAAAAAAGAGTGTTTCACACTGCTCTGTCAGTACAAAGGTTCAACACTGTTAGTTGATTGGATGCATCATAAACAAGTTCCTGAGATAGCTTCTATGTCGTTTTTATGGGAAGATATTTCCTTTTTCACCATAGGCCTGAAAGCGCTCCAAATGTCCACTTCCAGATACTACAAAAAGAGTGTTTCCAACCTGCTCTATGAAACGGAAGGTTCAACTCTGTGACTTGATTGCAAACATCACGAAGGTGTTTCTGAGAATGTTTCTGTCTAGATTTTCTTTGAAGACATTACCATTTCCAACGAAATCCTCAAAGCTAGTCAAATATCCACCTGCAGATTCTACAAAAAGAGTGTTTCAAAAGTGCTCTATCCAAACAAAGGTTCAATTCTGACAGTTCAGTGCACACATCACAAACGTGATTCTGCGAATGCTTCTGTCTAGTTTTTGTCGGAAGATATTTCCTTTTTCAGCATAGGCCCCAAGGAGCTCAAAATGTCCACTTCCAGATAGTACGAGAAGATTGTTTCAAACCTGCTCTGTGAAAGGGAATGTTCAACTCTGTGACTTGAATGTAAACATCCCTAAGATGTTTCTTAGAATGCTTCTGGCTAGATTTGATTTGAAGATATTCCCGTTTCCAACGAAATCCTCAAAGCTTTCCAAATATCCACTTCCAGATTCTATAAAAAGAATGTTTCAGAACAGTTCTGTCAAAAGAAAGGTTCAACTCTGTTAGTGGAGAACACACATCACAATCAAGGTTCTGAGAATGCTTCTGTCTAAATTTTCTATGAAGACATTCCCGTTTCCAACGAAATCCTCACAGCTATCCAAATATCCACTTGCAGATTCTACAAAAAGTGTGGTTCAAAACTGCTGTATCAAAAGAAAGGATCAACACTGTTAGTTGAGTACCCACATCACAAACGTGATTCTCAGAATGCTTCTGTCTAGTTTCTGTAGGTAGATATTTCCTATTTTAAGCATAGGCCTGAAAGCGCTCCAAATGCCCGCTTCCAGACACTATAAAAAGAGGGTTTCAAACCTACTCTATGAAAGGGAATGTTCAACTCTGAGAGCTGGATGCAAACATCACAAAGAAGTTTCTGAGAATGCTGCTGTCTACTTTTTATATATAATCCCGTTTCCAACGAAATCCTCAAATCTATCCAAATATCCACTTGCAGATTCCAAAAGAAGAGTGTCTCAAAACTGCTCTATCAATAGAAATGTTCAGCACAGTTAGTTGAGTAGATACAGCATAAACATGTTTCTCAGATTACTTCTATCTCGCATTCATGGGAAGATATTTCCTTTTTCCAGATAGGCTACAAAGCCCTCCAAATGTCCACTTCCAGATACTACAAATAGAGTGCTGCACAACTGCTCTATGTGAGGGGAAGTTCAACTCTGTGACTTGAATGCAGACACCACAAAGAAGTTTCTGAGAATGCTGCTGTCTAATTTTTACATGTAAGCCCGTTTCCAACGAAATCCTCAAAGCTATCCAAATATCCGCATGCAGAATCTTCAAAAAGAGTGTTCCAGAAGTACTGCATGAAACGAAAGGTTCAAGTCCGTTTGTTGAGGACACACATCACAAATAAGTTTCTCAGAATGCTTCTGTCTTGTTTTCATTGGAAGATATTTCCTTTTTCACCATAGTTCAGAAAGCGCTCCAAATGTCCACTTCCAGATACTCCAAAAAGAGTGTTTCCAACCTGCTCTATGAATGGGAATGTTCCACTCTGTGACTTGAATGGAAATATGGCAAAGTATTTTCTGAGTATGCTGCTGTGTACGTTTTATATTGCATCCCGTTTCCAACGAAATCCTCAAAGCGATCCAAATATCCACTTGCAGATTCCAAAAAAAGAGTGTTTCAAACTGCTCTGTCAGTACAAAGGTTCAACACTGTTAGTTGATTAGATGCATCATAAACAAGTTCCTGAGATAGCTTCTATGTCGTTTTTATGGGAAGATATTTCCTTTTTCACCATAGGCCTGAAAGCGCTCCAAATGTCCACTTCCAGATACTACAATAAGAGTGTTTCCAACCTGCTCTATGAAACGGAAGGTTCAACTCTGTGACTTGATTGCAAACATCACGAAGGTGTTTCTGAGAATGTTTCTGTCTAGATTTTCTTTGAAGACATTCCCGTTTCCAACGAAATCCTCACAGCTATCCAAATATCCTCTTGCAGATTCTACAAAAAGTGTGGTTCAAAACTGCTGTATCAAAAGAATGGATCAACACTGTTAGTTGAGTACCCACATCACAAACGAGATTCTCAGAATGCTTCTGTCTAGTTTCTGTAGGTAGATATTTCCTATTTTAAGCATAGGTCTGAAAGCGCTCCAAATGCCCGCTTCCAGACACTATAAAAAGAGGGTTTCAAACCTACTCTATGAAAGGGAATGTTCAACTCTGAGAGCTGGATGCAAACATCACAAAGAAGTTTCTGAGAATGCTGCTGTCTACTTTTTATATATAATCCCGTTTCCAACGAAATCCTCAAATCTCTCCAAATATCCACTTGCAGATTCCAAAAGAAGAGTGTCTCAAAACTGCTCTATCAATAGAAATGTTCAGCACAGTTAGTTGAGTAGATACAGCATAAACATGTTTCTGAGATTACTTCTATCTCGCATTCATGGGAAGATATTTCCTTTTTCCACATAGGCTACAAAGCCCTCCAAATGTCCACTTCCAGATACTACAAAAAGAGTGTTTCCAACCTGCTCTATGAAACGGAAGGTTCAACTCTGTGACTTGATTGCAAACATCACGAAGTTGTTTCTGAGAATGCTTCTGTCTAGATTTTCTTTGAAGACATTACCGTTTCCAACGAAATCCTCAAAGCTAGCCAAATATCCACCTGCAGATTCTACAAAAAGAGTGTTTCAAAAGTGCTCTGTCCAAACCAAGGTTCAATTCTGACAGTTGAGTGCACACATCACAAACGTGATTCTGCGAATGCTTCTGTCTAGTTTTTGTCGGAAGATATTTCCTTTTTCAGCATAGGCCCCAAGGAGCTCAAAATGTCCACTGCCAGATAGTACGAGAAGATTGTTTCAAACCTGCTCTGTGAAAGGGAATGTTCAACTCTGTGACTTGAATGTAAACATCCCTAAGATGTTTCTTAGAATGCTTCTGGCTAGATTTTATTTGAAGATATTCCCGTTTCCAATGAAATCCTCAAAGCTTTCCAAATATCCACTTCCAGATTCTATAAAAAGAATGTTTCACAACAGTTCTGTCTAAAGAAAGGTTCAACTCTGTTAGTGGAGAACACACATCACAATCAAGGTTCTGAGAATGCTTCTGTCTAAATTTCCTATGAAGACATTCCCGTTTCCAACGAAATCCTCACAGCTATCCAAATATCCACTTGCAGATTCTACAAAAAGTGTGGTTCAAAACTGCTGTATCAAAAGAATGGATCAACACTGTTAGTTGAGTACCCACATCACAAACGTGATTCTCAGAATGCTTCTGTCTAGTTTCTATAGGTAGATATTTCCTTTTTCAGCATAGGCCTGAAAGCGCTCCAAATGCCCGCTTCCAGACACTATAAAAAGAGGGTTTCAAACCTACTCTATGAAAGGGAATGTTCAACTCTGAGAGCTGGATGCAAACATCACAAAGAAGTTTCTGAGAATGCTGCTGTCTACTTTTGATATATAATCCCGTTTCCAACGAAATCCTCAAATCTATCCAAATATCCACTTGCAGATTCCAAAAGAAGAGTGTCTCAAAACTGCTCTATCAATAGAAATGTTCAGCAAAGTTAGTTGAGTAGATACAGCATAAACATGTTTCTGAGATTACTTCTATCTCGCATTCATGGGAAGATATTTCCTTTTTCCAGATAGGCTACAAAGCCCTCCAAATGTCCACTTCCAGATACTACAAATAGAGTGCTGCACAACTGCTCTATGTGAGGGGAAGTTCAATTCTGTGACTTGAATGCAGACACCACAAAGAAGTTTCTGAGAATGCTGCTGTCTAATTTTTATATGTAAGCCCGTTTCCAAAGAAATCCTCAAAGCTATCCAAATATCCGCATGCAGAATCTTCAAAAAGAGTGTTCCAGAAGTACTGCATGAAACGAAAGGTTCAAGTCCGTTAGTGGAGGACACACATCAAAAATAAGTTTCTCAGAATGCTTCTGTCTTGTTTTCATTGGAAGATATTTCCTTTTTCATCATAGTTCAGAAAGCGCTCCAAATGACCACTTCCAGATACTAGAAAAGGAGTGTTTCCAACCTGCTCCATGAATGGGAATGTTCCACTCTGTGACTTGAATGGAAATATGGCAAAGTATTTTCTGAGTATGCTGCTGTTTACGTTTTATATTGCATCCCGTTTCCAACGAAATCCTCAAACCGATCCAAATATCCACTTGCAGATTCCAAAAAAAAGAGTGTTTCACACTGCTCTGTCAGTACAAAGGTTCAACACTGTTAGTTGATTGGATGCATCATAAACAAGTTCCTGAGATAGCTTCTATGTCGTTTTCATGGGAAGATATTTCCTTTTTCACCATAGGCCTGAAAGCGCTCCAAATGTCCACTTCCAGATACTACAAAAAGAGTGTTTCCAACCTGCTCTATGAAACGGAAGGTTCAACTCTGTGAATTGATTGCAAACATCACGAAGGTGTTTCTGAGAATGTTTCTGTCTAGATTTTCTTTGAAGACATTACCGTTTCCAACGAAATCCTCAAAGCTAGCCAAATATCCACCTGCAGATTCTACAAAAAGAGTGTTTCAAAAGTGCTCTGTCCAAACCAAGGTTCAATTCTGACAGTTGAGTGCACACATCACAAACGTGATTCTGCGAATGCTTCTGTCTAGTTTTTGTCGGAAGATATTTCCTTTTTCAGCATAGGCCCCAAGGAGCTCAAAATGTCCACTGCCAGATAGTACGAGAAGATTGTTTCAAACCTGCTCTGTGAAAGGGAATGTTCAACTCTGTGACTTGAATGTAAACATCCCTAAGATGTTTCTTAGAATGCTTCTGGCGTAGATTTGATTTGAAGATATTCCCGTTTCCAACGAAATCCTCAAAGCTTTCCAAATATCCACTTCCAGATTCTATAAAAAGAATGTTTCAGAACAGTTCTGTCAAAAGAAAGGTTCAACTCTGTTAGTGGAGAACACACATCACAATCAAGGTTCTGAGAATGCTTCTGTCTAAATTTTCTATGAAGACATTCCCGTTTCCAACGAAATCCTCACAGCTATCCAAATATCCACTTGCAGATTCTACAAAAAGTGTGGTTCAAAACTGCTGTATCAAAAGAATGGATCAACACTGTTAGTTGAGTACCCACATCACAAACGTGATTCTCAGAATGCTTCTGTCTAGTTTCTATAGGTAGATATTTCCTTTTTCAGCATAGGCCTGAAAGCGCTCCAAATGCCCGCTTCCAGACACTATAAAAAGAGGGTTTCAAACCTACTCTATGAAAGGGAATGTTCAACTCTGAGAGCTGGATGCAAACATCACAAAGAAGTTTCTGAGAATGCTGCTGTCTACTTTTTATATATAATCCCGTTTCCAACGAAATCCTCAAATCTATCCAAATATCCACTTGCAGATTCCAAAAGAAGAGTGTCTCAAAACTGCTCTATCAATAGAAATGTTCAGCACAGTTAGTTGAGTAGATACAGCATAAACATGTTTCTGAGATTACTTCTATCTCGCATTCATGGGAAGATATTTCCTTTTTCCAGATAGGCTACAAAGCCCTCCAAATGTCCACTTCCAGATACTACAAATAGAGTGCTGCACAACTGCTCTATGTGAGGGGATGTTCAATTCTGTGACTTGAATGCAGACACCACAAAGAAGTTTCTGAGAATGCTGCTGTCTAATTTTTACATGTAAGCCCGTTTCCAACGAGATCCTCAAAGCTATCCAAATATCCGCATGCAGAATCTTCAAAAAGAGTGTTCCAGAAGTACTGCATGAAACGAAAGGTTCAAGTCCGTTTGTTGAGGACACACATCACAAATAAGTTTCTCAGAATGCTTCTGTCTTGTTTTCATTGGAAGATATTTCCTTTTTCACCATAGTTCAGAAAGCGCTCCAAATGTCCACTTCCAGATACTCCAAAAAGAGTGTTTCAAACCTGCTCTATGAATGGGAATGTTCCACTCTGTGACTTGAATGGAAATATGGCAAAGTATTTTCTGAGTATGCTGCTGTGTACGTTTTATATTGCATCCCGTTTCCAACGAAATCCTCAAAGCGATCCAAATATCCACTTGCAGATTCCAAAAAAAGAGTTTTTCAAACTGCTCTGTCAGTACAAAGGTTCAACACTGTTAGTTGATTAGATGCATCATAAACAAGTTCCTGAGATAGCTTCTATGTCGTTTTTATGGGAAGATATTTCCTTTTTCACCATAGGCCTGAAAGCGCTCCAAATGTCCACTTCCAGATACTACAATAAGAGTGTTTCCAACCTGCTCTATGAAACGGAAGGTTCAACTCTGTGACTTGATTGCAAACATCACGAAGGTGTTTCTGAGAATGCTTCTGTCTAGTATTTTCTTTGAAGACATTACCGTTTCCAACGAAATCCTCAAAGCTAGCCAAATATCCACCTGCAGATTCTACAAAAAGTGTGTTTCAAAAGTGCTCTCTCCAAACCAAGGTTCAATTCTGACAGTTGAGTGCACACATCACAAACGTGATTCTGCGAATGCTTCTGACTAGTTTTTGTCGGAAGATATTTCCTTTTTCAGCATAGGCCCCAAAGAGCTCAAAATGTCCACTGCCAGATAGTACGAGAAGATTGTTTCAAACCTGCTCTGTGAAAGGGAATGTTCAACTCTGTGACTTGAATGTAAACATCCCTAAGATGTTTCTTAGAATGCTTCTGGCTAGATTTTATTTGAAGATATTCCCGTTTCCAACGAAATCCTCAAAGCTTTCCAAATATCCACTTCCAGATTCTATAAAAAGAATGTTTCAGAACAGTTCTGTCAAAAGAAAGGTTCAACTCTGTTAGTGGAGAACACACATCACAATCAAGGTTCTGAGAATGCTTCTGTCTAAATTTTCTATGAAGACATTCCCGTTTCCAATGAAATCCTCACAGCTATCCAAATATCCACTTGCAGATTCTACAAAAAGGGTGGTTCAAAACTGCTGTATCAAAAGAATGGATCAACACTGTTAGCTGAGTACCCACATCACAAACGTGATTCTCAGAATGCTTCCTGTCTAGTTTCTGTAGGTAGATATTTCCTATTTTAAGCATAGGCCTGAAAGCGCTACAAATGCCCGCTTCCAGACACTATAAAAAGAGGGTTTCAAACCTACTCTATGAAAGGGAATGTTCAACTCTGAGAGCTGGATGCAAACATCACAAAGAAGTTTCTGAGAATGCTGCTGTCTACTTTTTATATATAATCCCGTTTCCAACGAAATCCTCAAATCTATCCAAATATCCACTTGCAGATTCCAAAAGAAGAGTGTCTCAAAACTGCTCTATCAATAGAAATGTTCAGCACAGTTAGTTGAGTAGATACAGCATAAACATGTTTCTGAGATTACTTCTATCTCGCATTCATGGGAAGATATTTCCTTTTTCCAGATAGGCTACAAAGCCCTCCAAATGTCCACTTCGAGATACTACAAATAGAGTGCTGCACAACTGCTCTATGTGAGGGGATGTTCAATTCTGTGACTTGAATGCAGACACCACAAAGAAGTTTCTGAGAATGCTGCTGTCTAATTTTTACATGTAAGCCCGTTTCCAACGAAATCCTCAAAGCTAACCAAATATCCGCATGCAGAATCTTCAAAAAGAGTGTTCCAGAAGTACTGCATGAAACGAAAGGATCGAGTCCGTTAGTTGAGGATACGCATCACAAATAAGTTTCTCAGAATGCTTCTGTCTTGTTTTCATTGGAAGATATTTCCTTTTTCACCATAGTTCTGAAAGCGCTCCAAATGTCCACTTCCAGACACTCCAAAAAAAGTGTTTCAAACCTGCTCTATGAATGGGAATGTTCCACTCTGTGACTTGAATGGAAATATGGCAAAGTATTTTCTGAGTATGCTGCTGTGTACGTTTTATATTGCATCCCGTTTCCAACGAAATCCTCAAAGCGATCCAAATATCCACTTGCAGATTCCAAAAAAAGAGTGTTTCAAACTGCTCTGTCAGTACAAAGGTTCAACACTGTTAGTTGATTAGATGCATCATAAACAAGTTCCTGAGATAGCTTCTATCTCGCATTCATGGGAAGATATTTCCTTTTTCCAGATAGGCTACAAAGCCCTCCAAATGTCCACTTCCAGATACTACAGAAAGAGTGTTTCCAACCTGCTCTATGAAACGGAAGGTTCAACTCTGTGACTTGATTGCAAACATCACGAAGGTGTTTCTGAGAATGCTTCTGTCTAGATTTTCTTTGAAGACATTACCGTTTCCAACGAAATCCTCAAAGCTAGCCAAATATCCACCTGCAGATTCTACAAAAAGAGTGTTTCAAAAGTGCTCTGTCCAAACCAAGGTTCAATTCTGACAGTTGAGTGCACACATCACAAACGTGATTCTGCGAATGCTTCTGTCTAGTTTTTGTCGGAAGATATTTCCTTTTTCAGCATAGGCCCCAAGGAGCTCAAAATGTCCACTGCCAGATAGTACGAGAAGATTGTTTCAAACCTGCTCTGTGAAAGGGAATGTTCAACTCTGTGACTTGAATGTAAACATCCCTAAGATGTTTCTTAGAATGCTTCTGGCTAGATTTGATTTGAAGATATTCCCGTTTCCAACGAAATCCTCAAAGCTTTCCAAATATCCACTTCCAGATTCTATAACAAGAATGTTTCAGAACAGTTCTGTCAAAAGAAAGGTTCAACTCTGTTAGTGGAGAACACACATCACAATCAAGGTTCTGAGAATGCTTCTGTCTAAATTTTCTATGAAGACATTCCCGTTTCCAACGAAATCCTCACAGCTATCCAAATATCCACTTGCAGATTCTACAAAAAGTGTGGTTCAAAACTGCTGTATCAAAAGAATGGATCAACACTGTTAGTTGAGTACCCACATCACAAACGTGATTCTCAGAATGCTTCTGTCTAGTTTCTATAGGTAGATATTTCCTTTTTCAGCATAGGCCTGAAAGCGCTCCAAATGCCCGCTTCCAGACACTATAAAAAGAGGGTTTCAAACCTACTCTATGAAAGGGAATGTTCAACTCTGAGAGCTGGATGCAAACATCACAAAGAAGTTTCTGAGAATGCTGCTACTTTTTATATATAATCCCGTTTCCAACGAAATCCTCAAATCTATCCAAATATCCACTTGCAGATTCCAAAAGAAGAGTGTCTCAAAACTGCTCTATCAATAGAAATGTTCAGCACAGTTAGTTGAGTAGATACAGCATAAACATGTTTCTGAGATTACTTCTATCTCGCATTCATGGGAAGATATTTCCTTTTTCTACATAGATAGGCTACAAAGCCCTCCAAATGTCCACTTCGAGATACTACAAATAGAGTGCTGCACAACTGCTCTATGTGAGGGGATGTTCAATTCTGTGACTTGAGTGCAGACACCACAAAGAAGTTTCTGAGAATGCTGCTGTCTAATTTTTATATGTAAGCCCGTTTCCAACGAAATCCTCAAAGCTATCCAAATATCCGCATGCAGAATCTTCAACAAGAGTGTTCCAGAAGTACTGCATGAAACGAAAGGTTCGAGTCCGTTAGTTGAGGACACGCATCACAAATAAGTTTCTCAGAATGCTTCTGTCTTGTTTTCATTGGAAGATATTTCCTTTTTCACCATAGTTCAGAAAGCGCTCCAAATGTCCACTTCCAGATACTCCAAAAAGAGTGTTTCAAACCTGCTCTATGAATGGGAATGTTCCACTCTGTGACTTGAATGGAAATATGGCAAAGTATTTTCTGAGTATGCTGCTTTGTACGTTTTATATTGCATCCCGTTTCCAACGAAATCCTCAAAGCGATCCAAATATCTACTTGCAGATTCCAAAAAAAGAGTGTTTCAAACTGCTCTGTCAGTACAAAGGTTCAACACTGTTAGTTGATTAGATGCATCATAAACAAGTTCCTGAGATAGCTTCTATGTCGTTTTTATGGGAAGCTATTTCCTTTTTCTCCATAGGCCTGAAAGCGCTCCAGATGTCCACTTCCAGATACTACAAAAAGAGTGTTTCCAACCTGCTCTATGAAACGGAAGGTTCAACTCTGTGACTTGATTGCAAACATCACGAAGGTGTTTCTGAGGATGTTTCTGTCTAGATTTTCTTTGAAGACATTACCGTTTCCAACGAAATCCTCAAAGCTAGCCAAATATCCACCTGCAGATTCTACAAAAAGAGTGTTTCAAAAGTGCTCTGTCCAAACCAAGGTTCAATTCTGACAGTTGAGTGCACACATCACAAACGTGATTCTGCGAATGCTTCTGTCTAGTTTTTGTCGGAAGATATTTCCTTTTTCAGCATAGGCCCCAAGGAGCTCAAAATGTCCACTGCCAGATAGTACGAGAAGATTGTTTCAAACCTGCTCTGAGAAAGGGGAATGTTCAACTCTGTGACTTGAATGTAAACATCCCTAAGATGTTTCTTAGAATGCTTCTGGCTAGATTTTATTTGAAGATATTCCCGTTTCCAACGAAATCCTCAAAGCTTTCCAAATATCCACTTCCAGATTCTATAAAAAGAATGTTTCAAAACAGTTCTGTCAAAAGAAAGGTTCAACTCTGTTAGTGGAGAACACACATCACAATCCAGGTTCTGAGAATGCTTCTGTCTAAATTTTCTATGAAGAAATTCCCGTTCCCAACGAATCCTCACAGCTATCCAAATATCCACTTGCAGATTCTACAAAAAGGGTGGTTCAAAACTGCTGTATCAAAAGAATGAATCAACACTGTTAGTTGAGTACCCACATCACAAACGTGATTCTCAGAATGCTTCTGTCTAGTTTCTGTAGGTAGATATTTCCTTTTTCAGCATAGGCCTGAAAGCACTCCAAATGCCCGCTTCCAGACACTATAAAAAGGGGGTTTCAAACCTACTCTATGAAACGGAATGTTCAACTCTGGGACCTGGATGCAAACATCACAAAGAAGTTTCTGAGAATGCTGCTGTCTACTTTTGATATATAATCCCGTTTCCAACGAAATCCTCAAATCTATCCAAATATCCACTTGCAGATTCCAAAAGAAGAGTGTCTCAAAACTGCTCTATCAATAGAAATGTTCAGCACAGTTAGTTGAATAGATACAGCATAAACATGTTTCTGAGATTACTTCTATCTCGCATTCATGGGAAGATATTTCCTTTTTCCAGATAGGCTACAAAGCCCTCCAAATGTCCACTTCGAGATACTACAAATAGAGTGCTGCACAACTGCTCTATGTGAGGGGATGTTCAATTCTGTGACTTGAATGCAGACACCACAAAGAAGTTTCTGAGAATGCTGCTGTCTAATTTTTACATGTAAGACCGTTTCCAACGAAATCCTCAAAGCTATCCAAATATCCGCATGCAGAATCTTCAAAAAGAGTGTTCCAGAAGTACTGCATGAAACGAAAGGTTCAAGTCCGTTTGTTGAGGACACACATCACAAATAAGTTTCTCAGAATGCTTCTGTCTTGTTTTCATTGGAAGATATTTCCTTTTTCACCATAGTTCAGAAAGCGCTCCAAATGTCCACTTCCAGATACTCCAAAAAGAGTGTTTCCAACCTGCTCTATGAATGGGAATGTTCCACTCTGTGACTTGAATGGAAATATGGCAAAGTATTTTCTGAGTATGCTGCTGTCTACTTTTTATATGTAATCCCGTTTCCAACGAAATTCTCAAAGCGATACAAATATCCACTTGCAGATTCCAAAAAAAGAGTGTTTCAAACTGCTCTGTCAGTACAAAGGTTCAACACTGTTAGTTGATTGGATGCATCATAAACAAGTTCCTGAGATAGCTTCTATGTCGTTTTTATGGGAAGATATTTCCTTTTTCACCATAGGCCTGAAAGCGCTCCAAATGTCCACTTCCAGATACTACAATAAGAGTGTTTCCAACCTGCTCTATGAAACGGAAGGTTCAACTCTGTGACTTGATTGCAAACATCACGAAGGTGTTTCTGAGAATGTTTCTGTCTAGATTTTCTTTGAAGACATTCCCGTTTCCAACGAAATCCTCACAGCTATCCAAATATCCTCTTGCAGATTCTACAAAAAGTGTGGTTCAAAACTGCTGTATCAAAAGAATGGATCAACACTGTTAGTTGAGTACCCACATCACAAACGAGATTCTCAGAATGCTTCTGTCTAGTTTCTGTAGGTAGATATTTCCTATTTTAAGCATAGGTCTGAAAGCGCTCCAAATGCCCGCTTCCAGACACTATAAAAAGAGGGTTTCAAACCTACTCTATGAAAGGGAATGTTCAACTCTGAGAGCTGGATGCAAACATCACAAAGAAGTTTCTGAGAATGCTGCTGTCTACTTTTGATATATAATCCCGTTTCCAAGGAAATCCTCAAATCTATCGAAATATCCACTTGCAGATTCCAACAGGAGAGTGTCTCAAAACTGCTCTATCAATAGAAATGTTCAGCACAGTTAGTTGAGTAGATACAGCATAAACATGTTTCTGAGATTACTTCTATCTCGCATTCATGGGAAGATATTTCCTTTTTCCAGATAGGCTACAAAGCCCTCCAAATGTCCACTTCCAGATACTACAAATAGAGTGCTGCACAACTGCTCTATGTGAGGGGGAAGTTCAATTCTGTGACTTGAATGCAGACACCACAAAGAAGTTTCTGAGAATGCTGCTGTCTAATTTTTACATGTAAGACCGTTTCCAACGAAATCCTCAAAGCTATCCAAATATCCGCATGCAGAATCTTCAAAAAGAGTGTTCCAGAAGTACTGCATGAAACGAAAGGTTCAAGTCCGTTTGTTGAGGACACACATCACAAATAAGTTTCTCAGAATGCTTCTGTCTTGTTTTCATTGGAAGATATTTCCTTTTTCACCATAGTTCAGAAAGCGCTCCAAATGTCCACTTCCAGATACTCCAAAAAGAGTGTTTCAAACCTGCTCTATGAATGGGAATGTTCCACTCTGTGACTTGAATGGAAATATGGCAAAGTATTTTCTGAGTATGCTGCTGTGTACGTTTTATATTGCATCCCGTTTCCAACGAAATCCTCAAAGCGATCCAAATATCCACTTGCAGATTCCAAAAAAAGAGTGTTTCAAACTGCTCTGTCAGTACAAAGGTTCAACACTGTTAGTTGATTAGATGCATCATAAACAAGTTCCTGAGATAGCTTCTAAGTCGCTTTTATGGGAAGATATTTCCTTTTACACCATAGGCCTGAAAGCGCTCCAAATGTCCACTTCCAGATACTACAAAATGAGTGTTTCCAACCTGCTCTATGAAACGGAAGGTTCAACTCTGTGACTTGATTGCAAACATCACGAAGTTGTTTCTGAGGATGTTTCTGTCTAGATTTTCTTTGAAGACATTACCGTTTCCAACGAAATCCTCAAAGGTAGCCAAATATCCACCTGCAGATTCTACAAAAAGAGTGTTTCAAAAGTGCTCTGTCCAAACAAAGGTTCAATTCTGACAGTTGAGTGCACACATCACAAACGTGATTCTGCGAATGCTTCTGTCTAGTTTTTGTCGGAAGATATTTCCTTTTTCAGCATAGGCCCCAAGGAGCTCAAAATGTCCACTGCCAGATAGTACGAGAAGATTGTTTCAAACCTGCTCTGAGAAAGGGGAATGTTCAACTCTGTGACTTGAATGTAAACATCCCTAAGATGTTTCTTAGAATGCTTCTGGCTAGATTTTATTTGAAGATATTCCCATTTCCAACGAAATCCTCAAAACTTTCCAAATATCCACTTCCAGATTCTATAAAAAGAATGTTTCAAATCAGTTCTGTCCAAAGAAAGGTTCAACTCTGTTAGTGGAGAACTCACATCACAATCCAGGTTCTGAGAATGCTTCTGTCTAAATTTTCTATGAAGACATTCCCGTTTCCAATGAAATCCTCACAGCTATCCAAATATCCACTTGCAGATTCTACAAAAAGGGTGGTTCAAAACTGCTGTATCAAAAGAATGGATCAACACTGTTAGTTGAGTACCCACATCACAAACGTGATTCTCAGAATGCTTCTGTCTAGTTTCTGTAGGTAGATAATTCCTTTTTCAGCATAGGCCTGAAAGCGCTCCAAATGCCCGCTTCCAGACAGTATAAAAAGGGGGTTTCAAACCTACTCTATGAAAGGGAATGTTCAACTCTGAGAGCTGGATGCAAACATCACAAAGAAGTTTCTGAGAATGCTGCTGTCTACTTTTTATATATAATCCCGTTTCCAACGAAATCCTCAAATCTATCCAAATATCCACTTGCAGATTCCAAAAGAAGAGTGTCTCAAAACTGCTCTATCAATAGAAATGTTCAGCACAGTTAGTTGAGTAGATACAGCATAAACATGTTTCTGAGATTACTGAAAGCCTAGACCCAGCTCTAAGGCAGATTGGATCTACTCAGCTGCCAACACTTGTGTCCTGACAAAAGAAGAGGCACACCACCTTTCCAGTAGATATTTATTCAATATCTACTGTCTTCATACAGGCAATATCTCCCTCACATAGAGCAGTTGTGCAGCACTCTCTTTGTAGTATCTCGAAGTGGACATTTGGAGGGCTTTGTAGCCTATCTGGAAAAAGGAAATATCTTCCCATGAATGCGAGATAGA